>NC_000001.11:247850788-248002303 GCF_000001405.40 Homo sapiens
CAATCTTGGGCAAGATGGTTGTTTTTAACTTAGAACAACTCTTTGGAATCCAATAATTGAATAAAACTGGTGAGTTAATTGAAACAACCAGCCACAAAAGGTAAATATCCAATCTAGAAATCAACAATTATTCCTTCTCAGTCAGCCACATCTTAAAGTTCTCAGATAATCTGTTGTTATCTTCACAAACCTCCTGGCACCTAATTGGGGAGAAAGTCCTCACTTCCGTATATCTCCAGGTAAAACACACAATGGAAATAAGGAAACTTCAGAAGAATTAGCCCTGCAGACAATTAAACAAAAAATATGTCCCCAAAGATTTGCATTTGCTTTTCTTTCTTCCATGTGGATTAATTGATTGGGAAGCCAAGGGTTTGGATGAGCATTTGTTGAGTGTGTATTAGATTCCAGACACTCCATGTATAATGCTTTATATAAGCCTTATAAAAGGACCCTTTTCGTCGCAGAAGGCATAGGCAGAAAGACTTACATAACGCACCAGGGTCAGAGGAAGGGTGCATTAGAGCACTATTGTCTGAAGGCAGGTCAGCTGCAGCTTCATTGTCTGAATTTCAGTTTAATGCACTGCTTTCAAGACAGTTACGGAAATTGCGGGGATTGTATTAGTGGAATCTAGTTCAAAGGGCATCTAAGGAAACGTGTAAATATTAGTTATGGGAATGATGCAAAGTTTCTGGTTCTGCTAAGTAATTCAGGAGCTAGTAAGAGGGACAAATGAGGGAGAGACCTGATACACGAATTGAAGAGAACTTCTACTGCTGAGTGGTAGACAAGGTCAGAGGGAGAGGGAGTTGACAAGGAAAGCCGTTCCGCAAGGGCCCTGGGAGAGTGTTGGAGATGGAGCCATGTGGATTGGTACTTCTTATCAGCATTTTCATCTAGGAAGATTTGTTCCTGCTTTTCTTCCTACCCTGCCATCAATTAATCAAATATATATGCTTCTTATCTTTCTTTAAATCTTATATAAAGCAGGAGAAAATACTCTTTTATAACTCATGGCATTTTGTCTTCTTGTGCTATGGAGTGTGTTTGCGGAAGATTCTTGAATTCACAGACATTCTTAACGCATGTCATATAACTATGAAGAGCCAATACGTATTTTTTGTATCAAACTGATTTACACAATAGGATTTACACAAACGGATTTAACACAATATGGAACACTGGATCCATATTAGCCCATTCATTGCAGATTCATTGCAGAAGTCTGTATATCTGGAAAAATGCCTCAGTGCCTTTCTCCTCCTCATTTTACACAGAATAGAGATAGCAAGGGGGTGTTGAGGGATCACTTCAAACTCATTGGAGAGCTTTTGTGGGCTTTCCTTGGAGAAGTGGCTAGAGAGGCCTACTATGGGTGTTTGTGCATTTATCAGCTGGAACAATGCGATCTATGCAAATACAGTTGGATCTGGGCTGCCTCCAAAGGCTATCAGAAAACCCCACAACTTTGCTGTCCCATTCCAACCACCCCAGCCACCCTAGAGCATCATTCGGACAGACAAAGCCTCTAATTCACAGTAATCCACAGGATGTCAATGCTGGCAACCACTGGGAAAGAGAAAAGTAGGGTCTATATACCACATCCAGTGGTGATAATTGTGAGTGTCATTGATATCCATTGCCTACCAATAAAGACTAAACTGTTTGGCATAGCATACAAAATTAGCCATGATCTCTTTCCCTGCATTGCCACCTGAGTGGGAGCCACATCCAGTCATACTAAAAATACAAAATCAGCCAGGCGTGATGGCATGTGTCTGTAATCCCAGCTACTCAGGAGGCTGAGGCAGGAGAATCGCTTGAACCCGGGAGGCAGAGGTTGCAGTGAGCCGAGGTCGTACCATTGCACTCCAGCCTGGGTGACAGAGCAAGACTCTCTCAAAAAAAAAAAAAAAAAAAAAAAAAGAAAAAAAGAAAAAAGAAAAAGAGAAAAAAATGCAGGGTTCAGTTGCGTGAATGAGGTCCTTTTAAAGCCAGAAGCAGGGAGGAAATGCTGAGTCAGCGGCTGCTAGTCTTGAGGGCTGTGCTTTTATTTTTGGCATTGTGAATTTGCCAACCCAATAGTCCTATAGACACACACACACACACACACACACACACACACACAGAGAGAGAGAGAGAGAGAGAGAGAGAGAGAGAGAGAGAGAATTTGACCCTTCTGGTCTTAGAGCTTGAAACTTACTTTTGTTTTATCTGAGTTCCTTCCTCAGGAAAGGACCACCAGCCCTCTTGAAAAGTAAAGTAACAAAGAACTGAAACTTACCGGATCACCCCAGGTCATCTCAACCAGTTAATGAGATGCCAGTCCAGTCCGCTTATTCAACATGATTGCTTCCTTACCCCTCCCTAGTTCCTCTTTTTCCACACAGTGTGCTATTTCTTCCCTGCCTCTATATAAGCCTCTAATTTTAGTCAGTCAGGGAGATGGATTTGAAACTGAGCTCCTATCTCCTCTGCTGCAGCACCTGATTAAAAGCTTCTTCTTTGGCAATAATCGTTGTCTCAGTGATTGGCTTTCTGTGTGGAGAGCAGCAGGACCTAGACCGAACTCCTGGTTTTTGGTAACAAATTGGGCTGATTTGGGGGCTATGGAGCTAGGAGATTGTGAATCCCCAAAGCTGAGGCAAAGGGTTTGGCCATGGAGAGCTGAGAAACTCTGTGAAAAGGGTTCAAAGTAGGGAAGAAAATATTGCTGTCCTGAAGAAATGGTTTCAGGAGCCCAAAGCCATGATACCAAAGAAATTACAAAAAAGAGCAGGGAGGAATAATGGTCAGATGACGGCAGATCCCATATTTTAAAGATGTCACAGAAGGCAGGACACAACTGAAGAGGAATATTAGAGAAGGAGGATGGTTGCAGGTGGTATTAGCTAAAAGATTTGCAACTCTGCAACCTGTAAATGAGTCACAGGGTGGAGTTAGCCTATAAATTAAGGAGTGGGGTGCATTAGAATTTGGTCGTATTGGCATAAACCAAGAGGTGCTTTATTTACGCCAAAAGAAAGCTCATGAGAAAATACAAATTTAAGTTAGAGTATTCCCATTAAACCAGAAACTGCCTGGCGAGGCACTCCACATAGCATTTGTAAATACAATGACATCTGGATATAATCCAGTCCACAACTTACCTGCATGGACGTGCTGTAAGGGAAATGTGTGTTTCTAAGAACAATGGTACCGATGTCATTCCTAGTCAACCAGTGTCAGAGACAAAACAGTTTAAGCTCAGCAACTCTAGGACCAGCAGGGGAAGAAGTGAGCTCGCCCACTCCGTCACACCCTACTGAAAACCACAGTGACCCCCAACGTCAGAAGCCAGGGGCCTTTCCTTAGGATCACAGGCACTAGGAAATCTGAATTTAAGTGAGCCTAGTTATCAACTGGCCCATATATTTGAGTAAATGGATTGTTTTACTGTGTCTCGTTATGCCTGCAAAATAGAAAAATGCTCCAGCATCTGCCAGAGTTATGGAGAGCCAGGGCAAGATCATATATGTAAAATGCAGAAAAACATGGATTTGACATTTGACATAATATAATCATCTTTGAACTTCCCTCTTTCATTAGCTCCTATGATAAACTGTCCTAATTCTGTTCATTTACTTATTAACTTGTTTAATCAGTTAGTATGTGTGGAGTGTCCATTTGTGCCAGTTACTCTTCAAGGTCCTGGGGATAGATAGAGCAGTGAACAAAATAGAAAAAAATCTCTCTTCCTAATGTAGCTTACCTTTTGACTCACCATCCTTCCATTCACTTCACTATTTCATTTCCTTTTCTTCAATTAAATATATTTGCTACATGGCCGGGCGAGGTGGCTCACACTTGTAATCCCAGCACTTTGGGAGGCCAAGGTGGGGAGATTGTTTGAACCCAGGAGTTTGAGACCAGCCTGGGCAACAGGGCGAAACTCTGTCTCTACAAAAAATACAAAAATTAGCTGGGCGTGGTGGCGGGCACCTGTAGTCGCAGGTACTTGGGAGGCTGAGGTGAGAAGATCACTTGAGCCTGAAAGGTAGAGGCTACAGTGAGTCAGGTTGTGGCACTACACTATAGCCTGGGCAGCAGAGCAAGACCCTGTCTCAATATATATACGTGTGTGTGTGTGTGTGTGTGTGTGTGTGTGTGTATTTCCAACATGCCAGGACCTATATTAAGTGTCTACTATCTATTAGCTCGTTTAATACTCTGAAAGGCCTTATATGAATGACACTAACACCTCTTCACTGCACGTCAGAAGAAATGCAGGGCAGAAACGCGGCACAGCTTGCCTCAAGCTTCTCAGCAAGTGCCACAGCCCTTAGTCCGGAGCCAGAGTCTGTTTTTCTTTGCTAAGCCTTCTGCTCTTTAGCTTTTTTCTCTAATGCCACATCTTTCGTGTTTTGCTAATACAGATCCATGTGTGTTCTCCAAGAATCTATTCGCTTTAATTGCGCACTTAACCTTTAGGCCTCAAGATCCTCTGCTCTGCCTGTCGCCAGAGATCCAGCCCAAGAGTTTGTCCTTATAATGAAGACCCACAAACCCCAGAGGATCCCCAAGGACCTGAGTCATCTGGCCCCGCCTCTTGCTGCAGCCTTATCTGCTGCCACCATATTCTGGCCCAGCTTGCCAGCCTGCCTGGCTTCTCACTGTCATCTGGGTATGTCTTGCTCCCACCTGCTGAAGTTTACCTTGTACCTTTCATGGCTTCTGGGGGCACGGCCTTGCGGAGCCCCCCTTCCCGCTGGCCAGCTTGTGTTCACCTATCAGAGGTTTGCTCAGAGACCTCAGGTGTCTGCCCCCGACCCTGCAGCCTCATTCAGAGTCCTCTGTTATATTCCTGCAGGACTGGTGAGCGACCTTCCTTGCAGTTATTGGTTTGTAATTATATGTTTGCATGATTTCATATCCACCTCTTCTAGTTGATCTTAAGGCTCCTGGAGAAATGGGGTCCCACCTCTTTTCCTTAACATGTGTATTTTCAGTACCCGGTGCAATGTCTGAGACTCCTGGCTACAAACAGACACAATGTGTGCTCAGGGACAGATTGATTTGCCACAGGTACACCCCACCATCACTTCAAACTCGACCATACTAAAGTTATTTTGCACAGATGCAGACACTGCCTCAGACTTGTCGACTTTCTGGACGACATTAGAGACTTTAATGTACTTTATCCTGATTCAGCCTTCCACTGGATGAAGTAACATACTCTGTCAAATCATTTTGCTCCTGTCTCAGCCTCCCCCATCTGACAGGTACACCACTGAGAGGCTAAGCTTGAATTATTCCTCTGATGAGTATCTCTATAGCTTTGTCATCTCCAAGACTGGCTTTGCAACAATCCTACAACATGTGTGTATTCCTTGTAGGATCCTCATTGAACTAGGCCAGATATTTATTTAAATATTTAGAATTATTTTTGGCTGGGCTGTAAACCTATAGTTACACACACCTATGCAGGCATCTTCCCGTGTCAGGCGGTGTCTCATTTCTTTATCAAGAGGTAATTAGTGCAAGAGAAAAAAATGAAGTTTGAAAAAAACATTTAAAAATTGATTATGCCATATAAAGGGGGAAAGCCTTTTAAGAAACGATTATGGCATGAGAGGACCATGGAGTAGCTCAGTAACAATGGAAGGGGCTCGGAGGGTGGAAGGCGGGCGAGGGATGAGAGATCACCTAATGAGAACAATTTACGCTATCACAGCGATGCCTGCGCTAAAGCCTAGACTTTATGCAGTGTCTCCATGTAACAAAACTGCACTGGTACCCCAGAAATCTGCACTAAATCTATATAATGATGATGGAGGCTGGGCGCGGTGGCTCGCGCCTGTAATCCCAGCACTCTGGGAGGTCGAGGCGGGCAGATCACCTGAGGTCACGAGTTCAAGACCAGGCTGACCAAAATGGTGAAACCCCGTCTCTACTAAAAATACAAAAATTAGCCGGGCATGGTGGCGGGCGCCTGTAATCCCTGCTGCTTGCGAGGCTGAGGCAGGAGAATCGCTTGAACCCGGGAGGCGGAGGCTGCAGTGAGCCGAGATCGCGCCACCGCACTCCAGCCTGGGCGACAGAGCGAGACTCCCTCTCAAAAAAACAAAAACAAAAACAAACAAACAAAGATGGAAGGAAGGAGGGAATTTAGCAATTCTCCAGATCTACTGCCAGTGAAAATAGCATATGAGGAGGGATTCCAGTTAGAAATGCCCAGTTTCCTGGGTGTGTGTGTGACGGGGGCGGGGAACCACAACGTTAATTTTATCCCCGACATAGGGAGCGCCTGAGTGGTGGCTTTTCACCGGGTGTGGCTCGTCTGAGCTCTTGAACTGAAGCCAGCGGACACCACCCGTCGGCGCCTGCTTTCCTGGGGCGTGGGCTCCTCCCCCTGTGCAGACCGCGAGGGGAGACGGTGCGGGCGGCCGGGAGCGCAGCCCTCCGGGAGGCGGGTCATGGCCTGGGCGCCGCCCGGGGAGCGGCTGCGCGAGGATGCGCGGTGCCCGGTGTGCCTGGATTTCCTGCAGGAGCCGGTCAGCGTGGACTGCGGCCACAGCTTCTGCCTCAGGTGCATCTCCGAGTTCTGCGAGAAGTCGGACGGCGCGCAGGGCGGCGTCTACGCCTGTCCGCAGTGCCGGGGCCCCTTCCGGCCCTCGGGCTTTCGCCCCAACCGGCAGCTGGCGGGCCTGGTGGAGAGCGTGCGGCGGCTGGGGTTGGGCGCGGGGCCCGGGGCGCGGCGATGCGCGCGGCACGGCGAGGACCTGAGCCGCTTCTGCGAGGAGGACGAGGCGGCGCTGTGCTGGGTGTGCGACGCCGGCCCCGAGCACAGGACGCACCGCACGGCGCCGCTGCAGGAGGCCGCCGGCAGCTACCAGGTGAGGCGCCCCCCGGCGGGGGCTGCGGGCGCTGCGGTGACCGGGAAGCGGGCGACAGTCCGGAGCGGAGCCGCCGAGGCCACCCGTCTCCTGAGCGGCTCCCACGGCCGCTCCCCCCACCGCGCGCCGTCCCCCCCGCCCACGCGGCTCACTCAGTGTGGGTCTCTTTGCCTTGGCTGTGGTAACCCCCTTTGCGACACACACCCATTATTTTACACCGTCCGCCCCTCCCCCAAGCACTCTCCTGTCGTCGAACTCGCGCTGGGCTGGTTTCTCCCGATGCGGATAGTCTGGTCCCTCAGCTGGGCTCTGGTCGGGAGGGCTGTGTGGTCCAGTTCATTCTTGGTAACAATTGTACGTCTATATCGTAAACTTGCCATAATAATTCTCATTTGTGCAATGCTTTGCTTTTGCACAGTGTTTACATTAAATGAGTGTTGTCAGCAAAGCAACCCTCGGGTTTGGGCGTTGTTAAGAAGAGTGTCGAGCTGGGTACGGGTTCCGACCCCTCCAAAGCTCAGGTGCACGTGCCTCCTGAAGTAGGAGCGGGTGGCTCTCCATCAGCAGGGATTTGGGGACTTAGGATTCGAACATCCTCAATGAAGAGGTGCTTCATTTGGGGTGTAGCCCGGGAAGCTTCAAAGAGAAAGAAGAAAAACAAAATGGGAGTATTTGGTCCCCAGAGTGGCATCTGTGAAATTGTGTGTCGATTTCTTCCTACTGGTGCCCTTCAAAAGTTCTTGGATGTTTTCTGAACACACTTGAATCCCAGCATGTAGAACAACTGCCAGCACAGAGGAGGTCTAAGTCGTCTTTACTGACAGATTTAACCAAAGGACTGTCAGTCGCGCTGTAGTGCATTGCAAATACTTTCTTAAAATTTTTATTTATTTATTTTGTTTGTTTTAAATTAAGGTTTAGGATATTTTCCCCTTCCTTCTCTACCAATATCTCTCTTGGTATTTCTTCTTGATTTTCGTTGTCATTTGCGAGATGTAGGTACTAGTACTAGGTAATTTCTAGCTAAACTTTTCTGGAATGTTCTTGCCTTTTTAAAAAAAGTCCAGAAAGAGGATTGGTAGTAACTTTTTTTTTTTTTTTTTTTTTTTTTTGAGACGGAGTCTAGTTCTGTAGCTCAGGCTGGAGGGCAGTGGCGCAATCTCGGCTCATTGCAACCTCCGTCTCCCGGGTCCTGGTGCAAGCAATTCTCCTGCCTCAGCCTCCCGGGTAGCTGGGATTACAGGTATGCGTCACCACACCCGGCTAATTTTTGTATTTTTAGTAGAGACGGGGTTTCACTGTGTTGGCCAGGCTGGTCTTGAACTCCTGACCTTGTGATCCATCCGCCGTGGCCTCCCAAAGTGCTGGTGTTACAGGCAGCCCAGCCTCTAGTGTAATATTTCTAAAGGTGTTCTCCATATTTTCAGTAGTTCTTCGGTTAAATACCAAATAAATATTATCTAAACTCCTGAGCCTCTCAGTGAAAGCTTTCTAGGGCCCTAAGTTATGTTTCCATAGCTCTCTTGTCTTAACCAGCCAGGAAACCCAGCAAATTTAGCCGAATCACTGTTTTCCTAACTGTGCTACATCTCCTTGCTTTTGCTGACAGTTTCTTTGGCCTGAGGGAGCTTTTCTTTATCTACAAGTGTCAAAGTGCTCCGTTCTTTGTAAACACCAAAACACATGCCACTTTCCCCACTGAGTCAAATGGTATCATGAATTCTACTGTTATTTTATATATAACAATTATAATATTCTCCTTTTAAAAACAATTGATGTGTATGTAGGATTTATTGAGTAACTTTGGGAATATAATTTTTTAATTAAAATCCTGTTTATGTATGTATCTTTGTGAGTATTTAAAATACACATATTTACCTCTAGTGAGCGCCCTATCATTGAAGGAAGATTTAGTTCTCATTGTATTTTTACTCATTGCAAGGTTTACAACATACTGTGTTTTTTCATATAAAATATGATAACCTACCAAGTTCCTTCTGACCTAATAATACTACTAATACTACAATAATAAACCCATGCTTTATCATAAAGTAACCAATAACTTCAAGAAGTTGAAGTTATATAGAGAAATACAGAATACAGTTATATAGAGAAATATATAAATATAGAGAAATGTATAAATATAGTTATATAGAGAAATATATGAAATATAGAGATATAATAGCATCACTCTTCATCCAAACACCAATAGATGACATTTTATCTAATATCATTCTCATTTACATCAGCCCAGTTTTAATATATTCATTACCAGCACATTTTTTTTCAAAATTCATGTTGTTTTGTAAAATATTTTTATTCATTGGACATTATCATTGTATTTCTAGTCATTAAACATTCTGTAACATCTTATTTTAATTCTATCCAGTTAATATAATTTTTTTCTCCCCTATCTTTAATGTTTTAGTTTAGTTATGCTATCGTATATAACAATGCAGTGAGCATACTTTTAGATAAATATTTGATTGTATCTGGTATTAAAATACATTTAAGGAGCTAGGCCCAGTGGCTCATGCCTATAATCCCAGCACTTTGGAAGGCCAAGATGGGAGACTCTCTGGAGGCCAGCAGTTTGACACCAGCCTGGGCAATATAGTAAGACCCCATCTCTACAGAAAACAAAATTAGCTGAATGTAATGATGTGTGCCTGGAGTCCTAGCTGCTTGGGAGGCTGAGGTGGGAGGATCATTTGATCCCAGGAGTTTGAGGCTGCAGTGAGCCATGATCGCAACACTGCACAACCTGAGTGACAGAGCGAGACCCTGACACTAAAACTTAAGTACATTTATGTTTAGTTTTTAATGATATTGAACATTTTTATGTGCTTTCTAGGGACTGTTTAAGTTGACTTTTGTATTTCCTCACACATCTGTGTGACGTTAGGTACAGATTGAGGGCATCTGTAACAGCTGAAATGTTCCCAAACAGGTAAAGCTCCAGATGGCTCTGGAACTTATGAGGAAAGAGTTGGAGGACGCCTTGACTCAGGAGGCCAACGTGGGGAAAAAGACTGTCATTTGGAAGGTAAGACCATGTTGGGGCTTTAGGAGGCTTGCCTGTTTGAAGGATCCAGATTCGGGTCAGTAATTCTTCTACCATCTTCCATTCTCCAGCACTTTTGTTCCATCTCCATATATGCCCAAGAGCACCTCAGAGCCATCCTGGGTCATCCCGTCCCCTCAAATGATATGGTTCATTTTTGTTCTTTTTGTCTCTACTGCCATCACCCAATCCAAATTATAATTAAATAGCTTTGCTAGTTTGATCTTCCTGTAAAACCCACTGCTGTATCCCTGTCACCTAGAATAGCATCTTATACTGTTGCTACCAGTTTGAAAATATTTGTTAGGTGAATGAAATAATGAATATTTCACAACTTTGTAACAGAAGAAGTGTAGCCCAAGGTGATCATCTTATATACAGGGTAATAATCTGAACGTTTAGCCTTTTTTTTCTATCATCTATACATACACATATTCCATTTTTTTATACCTCACTAGCTCTTTTTATTCCATGTTTCATTCATGCACATGTGCGTGCACACGTGTACACACACACACAGTGATTCATACACACACAGTGATTCACATACACACACACACACAGTGATTCTCAACCTGAGGCGATACCTGCCCCCCAAGATAACATTTTGCAATTTCTGGAGATGATATTTTTGGATGTCACAACTGAGGAGGGGTGGGTGCAGTGCACCTGTCATCTAGTAGAGGCAGGAATGCAGCTTAACACCCTGTAGTCCACAGGACAGTTCCCATATCTTGTGAGGAAAAAATGATCTGTTCAAGATGTCAGTAGTGTCAAGATTGAGAAACTACGTATAGAAACTGTGTGTATAGTTCTATATATTCATATAATGTATTATATAATATGATATATAATAGGTTATACTTTGCAGAATATTCCTATTCTTTCTCCTTTTCCAAATAACCCTTCTTTTCTGATCACTCTATATATTTATAATTATTTCCTTCTTGTTTTCTTTGAAAATTTAGTCTTATACTCTGTCTTTATACAGATATTACATAAAGACTTTTTAAACTATATTTTTCTTTATTTACTACATTACTAGATTACAATATAGATATATACGGATAGGAAAAGATAACACTTATCCCAGAAGAAACATGTACATTAAGGCCAGGCGTGGTGGCTCACACCTGTAATCTCAGCACTTTGGGAAGCCGAAGCAGGTGGATCACCTGAGGTCAGGAGTTCGAGACCAGCCTGACCAACACGGAGAAACCCCGTCTCTACTAAAAATACAAAAAAAAATTAGCCAGGCGTGGTGGCACATGCCTATAATCCCAGCTACTCGGGAGGCTGAGGCAGGAGAATTGCTTGAACCTAGGAGGCAGAGGTTGTGGTGAGCTGAGATCGTGCCATTGCACTCCAGCCTGGGCAACAAGAGTGAAACTCTGTCTCAGACAAAAAAAGGAAAAAAGAAAAGAAAAATGTACATTATAGGTAAATGATGTAGATAGTGATAGGAAAGGATAAAAGTTATCAATATTAAATAATATTGATGTTAATAACATTAGTACCTAACGTTACTCAGATGTGTGAAGAAATATTTAAACTTATTAACGTTGATACTGACAAACTTATCAATATTATTAACAAATATCTTTAAACTAGTAGTGACAGTATAAGATGCAATTCTAGGTGATAGGGATATAGCAGTGGGTTCTGCAGTAAGATCAAGCTAGTAAAGCATAGTTTCGATTGGGTAGTGGCAATGGAGATAAAAAGAACAAGAACAAAGCTTTACAGTATTAAATAATGTTCATTACTTGCCTATAATGTACATAGTGGTAGGATGTACATTATTTAATATTGTAATATTGATTGATAATTTTTGTTCTTTTCAGGCTGAAATACAAGTCAGTTGTTTTCAATCCTGGCCTGACCATAGATCTATAAAATCAGAATCCCCATATCGGAGAGCTGAGTTCCTGCATGTTTTAAGCCCTCTACAGATTATTCTTAAGTAGGGATGATACTAAGATCCCTGTTCTAAGCCAAGTAAACTTGCATGATCATTACCATCAAGAATGTCTCCATGTGAGCCAAATGCAGCAAACACATCTTTGGTCAAAAGTTATTCTAAATACTGCAAAACCACCTTTCCTTTTTCTCTGTCTGCAGATATAGTTGTGCTCAAGAGGGTGGTGTGAAAGGAAGATGGATTGCAGGCAAATCGCTTCCCACCTTCCCACCTCACACCCCCTCGTGCCCCAGGTATGACTCTACCCTTCTCCAGTGGCTGCGTTATTTGCCCCACCCCACGACAGCACAGCCTCTGATATGAAGAGAGCTTCTCATATTTACATGAGTTACACTTTCAGGAATCAGTGTATGGAATTCAGACTTGGCTGATTTCAGAAAGAAGATGAAGTTTTCTGAATCTGGTGATTTAGAAAATGGTGGAAGGAGGTAGAGATGGAAAATGGAAGGAAGTAGTTAAGTCTTAGGGGATGTTTAGTTTAAAAAGGTGATAGCTCATGCCTTTTAGTCAAAGCAAGAAGTTATCACGTTTAAAAACAGGCAAATAGGCTGGGCACAGTGGCTCACGCCTGTAATCCCAGCACTTTGGGAGGCCGATGCGGGCCGATCGTGAGGTCAGGAGTTTGAGACCAGCCTGACCAATACGGTGAAACCCTGTCTCTACTAAAAATACAAAAATTAGCTGGGCATGGTGCTGCGTGCCTGTAATCCCACTTACTCGGGAGGCTGAGACAGGAGAATCACTTGAACCCAGGAGGAGGAGGTTGTAGTGAGCCGAGATCGCGCCACTGCACTCTAGCCTGGGTGACAGAGCGAGACTCTGTCTCAAAAAAAAGATTAAAAAAAAAACCAGGCAAATGACTTCACCTACAAGGCCGTATAACAATGTAACAAAACTGCATTTGTACCCCATGAATATATACAAAAAATAAAATAAATCGATAAAACAGGACAGAGAATGGGAGGTATAGATACTTTGAGGGAATAATTTACCTCTCGTACTCAGCTTAAAGTTAGTTTTCGATATACTTATCTTGAGAGAAGAAAATCTAGAAACTAAGCCTGGGACGAAGTATGTTCCTTAGGTCTATTCAGAAACTGAAGACGTGAGATTCAGGTAGAAATTGGGATTAATTCTCTGACGTGAACTCTGAAATCAGTGGCCTGAGCATCACTTAGTTCTTTCTTGGCTTTGTAGAGAATGTTAGGCTTATGGTTGTGTTCACTATTACCATATTATGAAACAGCATTCATATTTTCTCATCTCTCAGCCTTTTCTTATTCAAACAAACATTTCTTCATCATTCAGTTGTTTCTAGTGGTTCTAGCGACTGATCTAGTAGTAAATAGTAACTTCTGCTGTGTGACTGCTCTATGCTAATCACTGTTCTTGTAGTTTAATAGATATTTAGCTGTAATCCACATACTCCTCTTTTTCCCCACATTTTTTAAGAGATGGAGTCTTGCTCTGTTACCCAGGCTGAAGTGCAGTGGTGCAATCACAGCTTACTGCAGCCTCGAGCTCTTAGACAAGTGATCCTCCCACCTCAGCCTTGTGGGTAGCTGGGACTACAGGGCTTACCACCATGCCTGGTCGGTTCATTTTAATTTTTTTAGAGATGGGGTCGCATTTTGCTTTGTTACCCAGGCTGGTCTTGAACTCCTGACCTCAAGCACTCCTCTTGCCTCGACCTCCCCAAAACCTCACATTTTGTATATGGTACTGAAACTTCAGTATAAAAGTGCCTTGCCCCCAAGCCTGTGGCAAAATGGGAACTCCAGTCCAACAGTATTTTTTAAACTTAATTTGAAAACTCTCCTGGGCTACTTCTTATATGAATGGACTCCAGTCTGTGCATGTTGTTAGGATGCAACCAGTGAGTCCACAGAGTTACGGAGCCCGGGGAAGTCTGGACATTACCTTCTCCAGCACTGTCCTGTACATGGCTGCTGGAGGCCAAGCACTGACGATGTGATCCACGGTGTCACCTCAGGAGAAAGTGGAAATGCAGAGGCAGCGCTTCAGATTGGAGTTTGAGAAGCATCGTGGCTTTCTGGCCCAGGAGGAGCAACGGCAGCTGAGGCGGCTGGAGGCGGAGGAGCGAGCGACGCTGCAGAGACTGCGGGAGAGCAAGAGCCGGCTGGTCCAGCAGAGCAAGGCCCTGAAGGAGCTGGCGGATGAGCTGCAGGAGAGGTGCCAGCGCCCGGCCCTGGGTCTGCTGGAGGTGAGGCCGGGTGCCAGAAAAGCAGGCAGATGTGAGACTCAGGTGACAGAGACTAGTACAATGGCTTTCAGAGACAAACACTTTGGCGTTTATGTTCTTTAGGAAAAGGGCACCCTCAAATTTACTCAGAAGGCAGCTTAAACACCCTAGAATTTACTCAGAAGCCATTCCTGGCATCAGAATCATGAGATTCTAGAGAATCATATAGTTTGAGTCTGGCATGGTGGCACATGCCTGTAGTCCCAGTTATTAGGGAGGCTGAGACAGGAGGATCGCTTGGGCCAAGGAAATCGAGACCTTCCTGGGCAACATAGCAAGACCCTGTCTCAAAAAACAAACAAACAGCATATAGTTTGTTTTAAGGACTAAAGAATTCTTAAAATTAATGATTTCTGAAAACTTAAACAGCTAGGGAAAGGACAAGCTACACTCTGCTGGCTGAGAAGTAATTCCTAAAACCTCAGAGTCAGTTTGTCCATGATAGCATTGCTGTTTTTTAGGGATGGCTAGCACAGAAAGTCTGCATAATACATTTCAGTGTCACTGGCCAGAAGGATGAATAATGATTTAAATTGTCCAGCTTGAAATTGTTATATTGGATTGTAAAGCAAACACTGATTTCCTGGCCCACATTGCATGCCCGTTCCAGGCATGGCGAGGAGGGATTACGTGGACTCCCGTGCAGCTTCCTCCCAGTCTGTTTGGGATTAGAGAGCAGAAAGACGAGTAAGAGTGAAAGGAAATCTTTGTTTTTAATCCTCTGTGAGGCATCATATCCCAAGTGAACAGGGAAAGCCAAAGTTGTTGATAGATCCATGTTTTCTTGGTAGAACCAATGGCAACAGAAATTTATCTGGACCGACTCCTATCTCCTCCCCAGTGACTCACGCAGGGGATTCTAAACTAAGTGATGCATGTTCTCATTTAAAAGCTGACCCACGGATTCCACCTTTTCTGACTCAGTTCTAGGCACTGAAAGTACCATGAATATAAATAATCCTATTAACTGTCTGTATAATATTTGCAAGTACAATGACTAAACAGGACTGATTATGAGGCAGGGGACCATTAGATGAATTTATAAAGCCATTTAATTTGTCTCATTTTATCTTATATATATTAAATTTATATTTTATTATTATTGCTATGTTCATTTCCTTGTTAGCAAACTAAGAGTCAGAAAGGAATTAATTTTCCAAATAGCAGAGAGCAAAATACAAGAACTTTGACGGTTTCTTTTCTTTTGTTTTTTTGAGACAGAGTCTCGCTCTGTTGCCCAGGCTGAGTGCAGGGTGCAGTGGTGTGATCTTGGCTCACTGCAACCTCTGTCTCCTTGGCTCAAGCGATTCTCCTGCCTCAGCCTCCTGAGTAGCTGGGATTACAGGCATGTGCCACCGCACCTGGCTAATTTTTTTTTTTGCGTTTTTACTAGAGATGGGGTTTTGCCATGTTGGCCAGGCTGGTCTTGAACTCCTAACCTTAGGTGATCCGCCCACTTTGGCCTCCCAAAGTGTTGGGATTAAAGGCGTGAGCCCCTGTGCCCGGCTTGACAATTTCAACAATAGTATTTATTGCTCTGCCTGCCTTGGCCTCCCAGAGTGCTGGGATTGTAGGCATGAGCCACCCCGCCTGGCATGGGAGGATATATTCTTAAATAAGGTATCTTATCTATCTATTTTTCTAAAAGGGCAGGATCTCACTCTGTCACTCACGCTGGAGTGCAGTGGCTCAATCATAGCTCACTGCAGCCTCAGTCTCCTAGGATCAGGTGATCCTTGTGCCTCAGCCTCCCGAGTAGCTGGGACTAAAGGTGTGCACCACCACGCCCAGCTAATTTAAAACAAATTTTTAGTAGAGATGAGGCTTGGTTGTGTTGCCCAGGCTGTATATTTTTATACTTTCCTTTCCCTTTCTTCCCTGGTACTAATAAGCTACATTTTACCCCTGAAGGCCAAGACCAAGGCCTGACATTCCCATACAGGGTAAAGCAAATTATTCCCCTGCTTTTATGTCATTAAAACTTATCTGACTGGCAACTGTTTTTAAGGGGAGAGGGGAAATGTATCCCAAATACAATTATTAATATAATAAATGTATCACAGATATATTTATTTAATAATCTACTTTGAGAAAATAATGTTACTAGTTATTAAAGGCTTCCTTTATTAATCTATTTAGATAACCTCCTCATAGGAATAGCTCTGGTACGTTGGTTCAGAGAATTAGGAATTTATAATTCCTATAAAGATATTTAGGGAAACATTTTGTGTCTTTATTTGAGGAACCTATCCATGCCCCTCAAATAAATTCTATGAGTACTTAGGATCTATTTTATCCTGTTCCGTCTGAATTACATGCAGAATGTTACTCTGTTACAATATCCAAGTAGCAGAATTATTAATTCAGAAGATAATTAAATTGATAGGTGTTGCAGGAATTAACCTAAACTTTGTATAGCTTTAAAGAAAAGAGATTTGTCTGAGTGTGGTGACTCACGCCTGTAATCCCAGCACTTTGGGAGGCTGAGGTGGGTGGATCACCTGAGGTCAGGAGTTCGAGACCAGCCTGGCCAACATGGTGAAACCCCATCTCTACTGAAAATACAAAAAAATAAAAAAAATTAGCCAGGCGTGGTGGCGGGAGCCTGTAATCCCAGCTACTTGGGAGGCTGAGGCAGGGAGGTGGAGGTCGCAGTGAGCCGAGATTGCGCCATTGCACTCCAGCAGCCTGGGCAACAAGAACGAAACTCCATCTCAAAAAAAAAATAGAAAAGAGATTTATTGTCCCCTATAATTTTATCTCAATAATGTTTTGCAGTAGTTTCTAAGGAAATTTTTATGGGGTCTTCAGTCTGACTGTGAAAAGCAGTTCAGAGTCCAACTCACACTGTGTTTTTCTTTCCTTTTCAGGGTGTGAGAGGAGTCCTGAGCAGGTATGTGTGCTTTCTGAATTGGTGAAGGGATTGGGAGAGGCAGAGGAGCTGGTGGAGAACCCTGCTGACTTCTGTGGTTTCTGTGCTCTTCCCAGAAGTAAGGCTGTCACAAGGCTGGAAGCAGAGAACATCCCCATGGAACTGAAGACAGCATGCTGCATCCCTGGGAGGAGGGAGCTCTTAAGGAAGTTCCAAGGTAGTTGCATCTTAGAGACTGGGAATTAGGCTGCCTGGGGTTTGAAGAAGTTCCAAGGTAGTTGCATCTTAGAGACTGGGAATGAGGCTGCCTGGGGTTTGCCTCGTATTGTGGTTTGTCACTATGCCAGTCAGCTGCAGTGACCAACAGAACCTAAAGTCTTAGTGGCCCAGATCAGCAGAAATTTATTTTGAGAGTGTGCTGTTGGTTTGTTCCTAGGTGTGGGGACTTCTGTGCCACATCTTCTCACTCTGGTACCCATACTGACAGAGCTCTACCTCCCTCTTGGTGCTGGGAGCCATAGAAAAGGGCAGGGTTATTGAAGAGATGGGGGAAGAAGTTCTCTTCCAGAGTCAATACAACACATCACTTCTGGTCACCAAAATGTGTGGGGATTTCTCTCCGCAAACAGCCAATCAGTTCTCCAGCAGATACTCCAGCCAGATGTCCTTCCATGCAATTTGATTTTGACACTATCTATCTGGAGATAGCACCAGGTTCCCCGGGTTGAGGGCTTTGTCCCACAAGACTGACCCCACTTCAGATGCTGGTCACAAGCACAGGTTGTGGTCTGTGATTCTGACCAACTGACTGTAAACTGGGGTTCCCACAACCCTCTTCTTGAGTTCACTTAATTTCCTGAAACAGCTGACAAAACTTAGGGACACATATTTACTCATTTATTATAAGGGCGTTACAGAGGCTAGAGATGAACAGATGGAAGAGATTCTTAGGGCGAGGTTTGTGAGAAGGGGTACGGAGCTTCCACGCCCTTTCTAGGCCTGCTACCTTTGGAACCTCCGTGTGTTCAGTGATCTGGAAGTCCTCAGGACTCAGTTCTTTTTTTTGTGTGTGTGATGAAGTCTTACTCTGTCGCCCAGGCTGGAGTGCAGTGGCGCCATCTCAGCTCACTGCAACCTCCACCTCCCATGTTCGAGCGATTCTCCTGCCTCAGCCTCCCGAGTAGCTGGGATTACAGGCACATGCCACCATGCCTGGCTAATTTTTATATTTTTAGTAGAGACGGGGTCTCACCATGTTAGCCAGGCTGGTCTCGAACTCCTGACCTCAAATGATCTGCCTGCCTCGGCCTCCTAAAGTGCTGAGATGACAGGCGTGAGCCACTGTGCCTGGCCAATGAACTCAGTTATTTTGGGTTTTTATGGAAGCACTATGTAGACGTGATTGATTAGATCATAGGCCATTGGTTTACCAACCCACCCTTAAGCCCCTCTCCCTCTTCAGAGGTGGGGGGGGGTGAGGCGTGAAGGACTGAAAGTTTCAAGCCTCTAATCACATGGTTGGTTCCCCTGGCAACCACACCCAGTGGGAGGCTTTCTGGGTAATCACCAACCACAATTCATCTTATTAGCTTACAAAAGACACTCTTGTATTTCTGGAAATTTCAAGGATTTTAAGAACTGTATGTCAGTAAACAGGATATAGACCAAATACACACTTCACAGTATCATAGGCATGGTGAATGTAGACCAAATATATACTTCCCAGTGTCATAGGTATGGTGCCTCCTGCACTGTAGACCAAATACGTACTTCACAGTATCATAGGCATGGTGACTCATGCACTCCTCTTAAAGGTACCCATGCTGAATTAGAGCATCTGGCCTTCCTGAGATTTCATGGCTAAGTCAAACTATCAAGGAGACAGTGTAGGGGGCAAGGGAAAACTTTCCCCTTTCCCTATGAATGTTTGCTGAAAATCAACTGACCAAAGACAAATAGGAACAAAGGCATAGAAAAAGTCTAACATTCATAGCACAGTGGAATCGCAGGAGAGTAATGACCCAATAACGCAGTGGGATACAGATGCTTATATACCTTTCTTTATTGGAGGAAAGGGAGATGGGGAGGTGTGGATGATTTTAGGGAGATAGTAAATGATTTTTTGGAGGATTCATTGGGCTTGGAGTGCATACAGTGGCTTGGGACAAAGTGTTGAAAAGTAGACAGTGGTTTGTGACTAAAGTCTGTCCAGGTGTATTGATAGACTTGTCTGTCTTCCTGCAATATGAGCTAAATTAATTAAAATGCAGGGACTTCAGGCAGATAAATGAGTGTTAGAATAAAGCTTCTTACAGTGTGTGATGGTCTCCAAGGGCCTTTAATTTAAAATAATGGGCATACCAGGGTGCCATATTTTAGGGTAAAATTCCCTGGTCTCCTTCCGTGGGAGAGTGCACCATGCCCAGAAAAATTAGGATTGGTATATTCATGAGCAGTATCAGAGTCACGGCCACCCATAGAGCCTGCACCACCATGCCCAGAAGAACGAGGATTAGTATATTCATGAGCAGTATCAGAGTCACGGCCACCCATAGAGCCTGCACCACCACGCCCAGAAGAACGAGGATTAGTATATTCATGAGCAGTATCAGAGTCACGGCCACCCATAGAGCCTGCACCACCACACCCAGAAGAACGAGGATTAGTATATTCATGAGCAGTATCAGAGTCACGGCCACCCATAGAGCCTGCACCACCACGCCCAGAAGAACGAGGATTAGTATATTCATGAGCAGTATCAGAGTCACGGCCACCCATAGAGCCTGCACCACCACGCCCAGAAGAACGAGGATTAGTATATTCATGAGCAGTATCAGAGTCACGGCCACCCGTAGAGCCTGCACCACCACGCCCAGAAGAACGAGGATTAGTATATTCATGAGCAGTATCAGAGTCACGGCCACCCGTAGAGCCTGCACCACCACGCCCAGAAGAACGAGGATTAGTATATTCATGAGCAGTATCAGAGTCATGGCCACCCATAGAGCCTGCACCACCACGCCCAGAAGAACGAGGATTAGTATATTCATGAGCCGTATCAGAGTCACGGCCACCCATAGAGCCTGCACCACCACGCCCAGAAGAACGAGGATTAGTATATTCATGAGCCGTATCAGAGTCACGGCCACCCATAGAGCCTGCACCACCACGCCCAGAAGAACGAGGATTAGTATATTCATGAGCAGTATCAGAGTCACGGCCACCCATAGAGTCTACATTTGGTTAGACTATGGGCTTAAAACTGTAGGTCATCTCTTATTAGCTGATATGAGTAACGTTACTTCCAGTAAATTTACATTTCCTTGCTTATAAAATGCTAAAAATAAATTGCTTGGAGGACAAAATGAAACATTTGAAAGCACCCCACCTCCTAAAAGTAATCAATATGAAAGCACTGCAAAGTTATCAATTAGCAAGAAGTTTGGTTTAATTTATTGGCTGAGAATTTGATGAGTTGCTTGAATTAGTGAGTCAATAAAGCCAAAAATATTGTCAGTTATTTTCATGTAGGAATAAGCAGTGTCACAAAAAATTAGTGTGTTTAGTCTGATTGTATTATTCTTTAAAACAGTATAGATTCAGTATTGTTTACAATTTCATTTTAAAATCTAATTTATCCCAAGTAATGAAAACTATGTCTAAATAGTGACTTCACTACTTAGAGGGAAAGAGTGTAAAGTCCCTTAATGAGAAAACCCATCTCTGCAGCATAGTACCCACGTTCTCCTGGGTAGATGAATGTATGCTAAATGCCCAACTTGATTAAAATCGTCATGGCACCCTCAGACTCAGCAACCTCATATCCATATTTGTTTTTATGGAATGAAATCATTCAAAATGTGTGATTAATTTTATCTCACCCATTCTTTTAAACATTGGAATATATCATTCAACAACAACAACAAAATACTCTACAATCCGTAGCTTTGTGTTGCAGATATGTACTTCACCAAAATACACAGGCTGTAAGTGGCTGACACAGAATATTGAAGAAAATCAAAAAGAGTATGCAAAGGGTAATGAGAAGTTCTAGTTTTGAATAAGGTGACCAGGAAAGACCCCGCCCTGCAGGGGATAACCCAGCAAATATATGATCTGGAAGAAAGCATTCAGGCAGCAGAAATGAGCGCCAAGGCCTGACGTGGAGGATGGCAGGTGTGTTCCAGGAGCTGTGAGGATGTCAGTGTGAGGACTCTGTGGCAGAGTAAATGACAGGAGGGTCGGAGAGACCAAGAAAGGGCTAGATAGGCAGGCCATGCTGAGCATGATACTTTATCCCTGAGCGAAATAGGACATAGTTGAAAGTTGTACCTAGAAAAATAGTTTGATTGGACTAATGTTTTATGAGGATCACTCTATATGCTTTCTTGTAAGTAAATTACAGAGAGGAGAAGATTGACATGGGAAAAGCAGTTAAGGGTCTTTGCAGTAATTTGATGAGAGATGATTATGTGTTGGAATAGATGTTATTACGGAAGGTGCCGCAAGATGGACAGATTTTTGTTATATACTGAAGGCAGAGCTGTTAAGATTTGCTGTTGGATTATATATGATGTGCTATAAACAGGAAGAGCCATGAATGATTCCAAGGTTTTGGATCTTGCGAACTGGCAAAATGTGATTGCCACTTATATTGATGAGGAAAGCGACAGTTGAAGCAGAAGAAGGGCACAGGGTTTTGGATATGTGGATGTTGCGATGAGTGCTAAATATTCAAATGTTGCTATCAAGTGGGCAGATGAATGTACAATAGGGAGTTTCAGGGTAAAGTTCAAAGCTAAGCACATGCATTGGGAATCAGTCAGCATATGAATGGAATTTTATCAAAGCAATGAACCAGCCAGCACCCGGGTAGATAGGGAGTGAGGTGAGAGAGAGAGAAGAAGTCCAAGTCTTGGGACTATAGGTTTCTCCAGTGGTGGTGGTGGAGGAGAAGAGAACAGCAAAGAGGATCAAGGAGTAGTGAGCAGTGAGGGAAGGGAAACATGGATGAGTGTTACCTTTGGAAAAGGGAGATTTTCCAGCACAAGTAGATTCTCAGTGTTGAGAGATACAGAAAAATCATTGAAGATGAACTCTGGGCCGGGCGCGGTGGCTCACGCCTGTAAATCCCTGCACTTTGGGAGGCCGAGGCGGGCAGATCACCTGAGGTCAGGAGTTCGAGACCAGCCTGATCAACCTGAGGAAACCTTGTCTCTACTAAAAATACAAAATTAGCCAGGCGTGGTGGTGCATGCCTGTAATCCCAGCTACTCGGGAGGCTGAGGCAGGAGAATCACTTGAACCCGGGAGATGGGGGTTGCAGTAAGCCAAGATCATGCCATTGAACTCCAGCCTGGGCAACAAGAGCAAAACTCCATCTTAAAAAAAAGACAAACTGACAAGTAACCATTCATCAACACGGAGGTCCCTGGGAAGATGGACATGCGCAGTTTGGTTGGGGTATGGTCACATCATGATGAAGAATTGAGTTTAGGAGAGAAGGGGTAGGGAGAGGAATGGGATACAGACCATATCAAAAGCCATTTCACAGATCTCTTTTGTTAGAAATGAAGCAGACCACTGTGCCGGAAGAGGAATGGCTTGGGAATACATGACCTGTTAGATTGTGTTAAATGCACAATCCATGGAGACCTACCTTTCAATCTCTGTTATTTACCTCTAGAGTTTGGGAAGACCACATAAACTCTTTGACTCTGAATCTACTCTTGTGTAATGTAGGGATGACAATGGTGACCCTCAGGGTGGTTACATAATAAAAATAATGCAATGCGCAGTTACGTGACCACTCAGGTTGGGTATCAATAAAAATTCACTAGACCGGGCGTGGCAGCTCACGCCTGTAATCCCAACATTTTGGGAGGCTGAGGCGGATGGATTGCTTGAACCCAGGAGTTCGAGACCAGCCTGGGCAACATGGCAAAACCCCTTCTCTACAAAAAAATACAGAAAACTAGCTGGGCATGGTGGTGTGTGCCTTCCCAGCTACTCAGAGGGCTGAGGTCAGGGGATGGCTTGAGTCTGAGAGGTGGAGGCTGCAGTGAGCTGTGATTGCACCACTGCACTCCAGACTGGGCAACAGAGCGAGACTCCGTTTCAAAAAAAAAAGTAGTTCACTGTAAGTGTTTAAAGGCAAATAAGTATAGTGGTAGTGGTAGTAGCAGTAGCAGTAGCAGTAGCAGTAGAAACAGTATTTGTTCTGATATTAAAAATCAAACTATATTAACATGTTAGTCTGATTTTGCATTGCTATAAAGAAATACCTGAGGCTGGGTAATTTATTAATATAAGGAAATATGCTTTATTTTGGCTCATGGTTCTGTAGGCTGTACAGGAGTCATGGTGCTGGCACCTGTTTCTGGTGAGGCCTCAGGACACCTACAGTCATGGTGGAAAGCAAAGGAGGAGCCAGCGTATCACATGGCAAGAGGGAAGCAGTGAAGTGGGGAGGCCCCAGGTTCCTCTTAAACGACCAGCTCTTGCATGAACGGATAAAGAACTCACTTATCACCAGTGGGATGGCACTAAGTCATTCATGGGGGATCTGCACCCATGATCCAGCACCCCCCACTAGGCCCCACCTTCAACATTGGGAATCACATTTCAACATGAGACCGGGAGGCGATACACATCCAAACCATATTATTTATTAACTTACTACTTATAAGCAATGCTAATAAGGAAATGCACTGAATATTTTACATCCCCCCTTCACTGAGGTTTCATATCTAGATGTATTTATTTATTATGTATATGGGTCAAATGTCTCATCAATCTCACTGGGACTTCAGAGTATCAGTATTTTTTATTGTTATATAACGCATAACTACAAGCTTATGTGCTTAAAGCCATACCATTTAGTAGCTCATGGTTCTGAAGACCAGACATCCAAGTGGGATCAGCTGGCTCCTCTGCTTAGGTTTTCTCAAGGCCCAAATATGGGTGTTGGCCAGGCCAGGCCAGGCTTCTGTGTAGGTCGGGGGAAGAACCTTACCTCCAACCTTATTCAGGTTGTTGGCATAATACAATTCTGTGCAAATGCGGTACTGAGATTCCTGTTTTCTTGCTGGCTGTTGGTTGGGGGCTATTCTCAGCTCTGGAGATCACTCTCAGCTCTAGAGGTCACTCGTTTGTCTCTTCATGTGACCTTTCCATTTTCAAAGCCAGCAAAGAGATATCAAATCCACATCTTATTGACCTTTCCTGCTGCCACCAACCCAATAGCCAGAGAAAACTTTCTGATTTTACAGGACTTGTGGGATTTGATTAGACGCACCTTGATAATCTCTCTCTTGTCATATAGTGTAACATACTCATGAGGCTAACACCAGGGTGTGAAGGTCATGGGGTCCATCTTAGAATTCCGCCTACCACAGTAATATAACTTTGGAAGTAGTGGATTTAATATTAATAAAATTCTATAGATTTTTAAGAAAAAAATTCCTAAGGGGTTTATAAATTTTATGTTAAATGCAGAAGATCCTCCTAAGTGCACTCAAATGCTTTGGATGTAAGCCAGACATGGTGGTGTGCACCTGTAGTCCCAGCTGCTGGGGAGGCAGACACGGGAGGATTGCTTGAGTCCAGGAGTTTGAGGCTGTAGTGTACCACGGCTATGCCCATGAATAGCTCTGCACTCCAGCCTGGGCAACATAGCAAGACCCCGTCTCTCTGTCTCTCTCTCTCTCTCTCACGCACACACACACACACAAATGCTTTAGATGTAAATGAAAGGAAACTAAATGATAATTCACTTGGTTTGTCGTCATCAATAGTTGTTTTTTTTTGGGAAAGTTAAAGAGTTCTGGGTTACGCAGAGGTAACAGTGGAATATACCAGAAAGTTATAAAGAATAAGAATAATAAAGTAATAAAGAAGATTTCACCTGTAAGGTGAAATACTGATTTGTTTTCTCTAGGAGTTAATAGAGAGAGAAAAGTGAGGAACTGTGGGACTATTCTTTTCAGTGGTTTCCTAAGTTTCTACCAGTCCTTTCTTTCCTTTCACCTGGTCCACCACATTCTTTCCGCAGTGGATGTAAAGCTGGATCCCGCCACGGCGCACCCGAGTCTGCTCTTGACCGCCGACCTGCGCAGTGTGCAGGATGGAGAACCATGGAGGGATGTCCCCAACAACCCTGAGCGATTTGACACATGGCCCTGCATCCTGGGTTTGCAGAGCTTCTCATCAGGGAGGCATTACTGGGAGGTTCTGGTGGGAGAAGGAGCAGAGTGGGGTTTAGGGGTCTGTCAAGACACACTGCCAAGAAAGGGGGAAACCACGCCATCTCCTGAGAATGGGGTCTGGGCCCTGTGGCTGCTGAAAGGGAATGAGTACATGGTCCTTGCCTCCCCATCAGTGCCTCTTCTCCAACTGGAAAGTCCTCGCTGCATTGGGATTTTCTTGGACTATGAAGCCGGTGAAATTTCATTCTACAATGTCACAGATGGATCTTATATCTACACATTCAACCAACTCTTCTCTGGTCTTCTTCGGCCTTACTTTTTCATCTGTGATGCAACTCCTCTTATCTTGCCACCCACAACAATAGCAGGGTCAGGAAATTGGGCATCCAGGGATCATTTAGATCCTGCTTCTGATGTAAGAGATGATCATCTCTAAAATTCTGTTCCCAAGATGCAGTCCTAGCGTAGCGAACGTTCCTGGAGTGGGGTGAAGGATATCAATATACTAAGTTTTAACAGATACCCCATTTAGGTCAGCACTTGATTCGTTGTTGCTGTGAAATATGTCCATGGGACAAAAGAGGGAATATGAAATATTTGCATATGGGAAGATTATAGAGCATAATAATTTTGTAAATGGAGCAATCTCAACCTCTATTTCTAGATCACATTTTCTTGATGTCTTCCTTCAAATTAATGACCTTGGATTACATAAGGATTTCTATGCATTCATTATAATTTGTTATTCCTTTCAATATCCTTGTATTTCAAATCTTCCATATAAGAATTAGACATGGCAATTCTTAAATTGATTCAGAATGGTCTGATACTATTCCAGTATCACCTCCTTAATTCTGTTTCTCCTCGTTTTCCTGATTTTCCTTCTCATTCTCTCCTTCCCCGCTCTGTCTCTCTCTCCCTGTCACTCTCTCTCTCTTGTTCCTTATTTTTTGTTTCTTACCTCTTACTGTTTAACCTGTTGCTTCCTTCTGGATTAATACATTTAGAGCCATTCCTTTATATGGTCACATTTCCTATGACTTTACTCAATTACTTTTAAAATCCTTTCTATTCTGAGACTAATTTTTAAGAATTACAAAGCTCATTCTTCTGAATCTAATATCACTAACTCCTAGACTTTTTCCGTTTTCTTTGGATACACTTTAAGTAGGAATTTATCAGAATTTTCATTCAACTCGTTCTTTAATGCAGATATTTACTAGTTATAAGACCTTAAGGCTGGGTGCAGTGGCTCACGCCTGTAATCCCAGCACTTTGGGAGGCTGAGGCGGGTGGATCACAAGCTCAGGAGTTCAAGACCAGCCTGGCCAACATGGTGAAACCCTGTCTCTACTAAAAAAAAAAAAAAAATAGAAAAATTAGCTGGGCATGGTGGCAGGAGCCTGTAATCCCAGCTATTCTGGAGGTGGAGACAGGAGAATTGCTTGAACCCTGGAGGCGGAGGTTGCAGTGAGCCAATATCTCACCACTGTACTCCAGCCCAGTGCGAGACTCCATCTCAAAAAAGAAAAAAGACCTCAAACAACACTTCTCTCTCTCTTTTAGCTGCTTGTTATGGTTCCTATACATGGAACAATTATACTGGCCTCACTGTGTTATGGTAAATATTTAAGGTCATATTTGATATTGCTGGTTTGAATTCAGCTTTTCCATTTAAATACATTATAATGATGATGATGAAATCATGATAATATTTAACTTATTTTTAAAGTATATTCTGTACCTTTCCAACAAAAAGGTTAAAAGTCATTGAAGGCTAACCTTACTGCCTTCTTTGTATCACTGTCTTCTAAATAATTATTATGTCTGGGTACAGTGGCTCACGCCTGTAATCCCAGCACTTTGGGAGGCCGAGGTGGGCAGATCACGAGGTCAGGAGATTGAGACCATCCTGGCTAACACAGTGAAACCCCGTCTCTACTAAAAATACAAAAAGAAATTAGCTGGGCGTGGTGGTGGGTGCCTGTTGTCCCAGCTACTTGGGAGGCTGAGGCAGGAGAATGGCATGAACCCAGGAGGCAGAGCTTGTAGTGAGCCGAGATCGCGCCACTGCACTCCAGCCGGGGCAACAGAGCAAGACTCCATCTCAAAAATAAATAAATAAATAAATAAATAAATAAATAAATAAATAAATATTACACAAATGCTAAAATGTTTAAATGGTAAATGCTTCAATGCTAACCAAATATTAATTAATGGCAAATTATTTAACATTATCTGATAATAATCTGCAGAAGGTTTAATTTTCCTCCTCAATTTGAAGTTCAAGATGTTTTTCTCTTCCAGGGAGATTTTTTCGACTGACATCTTTAACTTACCTTCCAATCATATTACTAACGTAGCCTTCTTCCTAGATTTTTTAATTGTTTGATCATGAGCGAACACTTCTACTCTCTGTGATAGATTTGCAAACAGAGGAAATAACGCATCCTCGTGTCCCTCTTCTTGGTGTTCCACAGGCCATGTGTGCCCTAGCCCTCGTTCATGCAAGGTCTGTGTAGGGAAGGTGGACTTCAGCTCAGCAACAGCATCCCTTCCCACAGGGATCAGGTGGGTGGCTTGAGATACCCCTTCCATGGGGCACCACCCATTCAGTGAGACGGGGAAGCCCTGGGTGGGAGGGAGAACACCTCCACATGTCTTCTACTCTCTCCATAGGATGGAATGAGTGTCCCAGTCCCAGGAGTATCCATTTCCCACTGTGTAGCCCAGTACTCTGGTCTCACTGTCTCTGCTGAATCCTGTCTCACTGTGCATATTATTGTGGTTTATATCAGTCAGTAAACCAATGTGAGTCTTCATCTCTTGCATTCTTAGGTTCATAGTTTTGTGTGTCTCCTGTAATGACTCTTCTCTTTCCCTTTCCAACTCCTGAAAGATTGCCACTATTTCCTCTGGAACTTTGTTTCGTTACCAGCAAAATCCTCGACATCCATACCCGTTTCCTGGCTTTCCCTCTCCTTTCCTCTGAATGGTAGTCTTTTATATTCAGCTGTCCACTTGACATCAAAATAGACATTTTGAACTCAATTTGCCTAAAACTTACCCACAAATTTCTCCCCAAGTCTCTCCCTAACTGCAACAACAAAAACCACAGGCTTCTCCCTGTCACTGGATGGCAACTCCATTCTTTTGATTGCTTAAGCCAGGCATCCGATTGAGTACTTTCTTGATTTCTCCAGCCCACATCCAGTCCATCGGCAAGCCCTGTTGGTCCTACCTTCAGAATATGTCCGGGGTTCAGTTGTCCTGGCCACCCTGCTGCTGTAACCATGGTCAGAACTCCATCCTGCCCCTCTGGATTATGACTTTCGTTTCCTCACAGTGGTCCTGCTTGGGCTCTAGGCCCTTCCACTCCCATTCTCTCTACAGCAGCTGGGCTGATTCCTTTAGCACCCAAGGATATGTTGGCATCACAGTGACTTAGATACCATCACAAAGACCTCCCATTCAACTTAGAGTGAAAGTCAGAATCCTCACAGTGAATCCCCAGGCCCTAGAGGATGTGAACCCCCAGGCCCTAGAGGATCTGAACCCCCATCCCTCCTCTGATTATCTCTCCCACCCCCACTTCCCTTTGCATTCTGCTCCAGCTGCCCTGGCCTCATGGCTGGGTTTCCACCAAAGCAGGCACTTCCCATCACAGGGCCATTTCCCCGCCTGTGGCTTCTGCTTGACATTCCCTTTTCCCTGATATCCCCTTGACTCATTATTCCCTTTCTTCCTTAACTCTTCTGAGATCCAGCTTCTCAGTGATACCACACAGCCCTACTCCCCCCAGAGCCCATCTAGAGCTCACCTTTCCAGTCGCCCTTGCCAGGCTCAGTGGAGGCTCTTTGTTCCCCATACAGTACGTGTCGTCGTACTATATTGTTAGGCTTATTTAATTTATGTATGTTTTGCCTTTTTGTGCTAAATGTAAACACCACAAGGGGAGGTATCTTTGTCTGTTGACAATGATACATTCAATGTTTCTCAAGCACCCCCAATGCTGGTTTGTATGTGGTTATCATTCAATCTGTATTTGTTGAATGAATAAATGATTGACTATGTGGAGAGCAAAATTGATGGACCTGAAAATGTTTTGCAAAATGTAATATAGTCTACTGATACAATATTTATTATTATTGGCCAATAATGTTTAATGCCAAGTGCTAAATTAGTAAAATTTTGGGGATATAGAGAAAAATTGAGCAGAAGTCTTAAGTTTGTAAACATAATGGATTTTGTGACCTGATAACTTGGCATGTCCAGGCCTAGTCCCATTGAGCCCCCTGTGGTTTTGATTCCCTGTGACATCACAGTGACACCTTTGAATTATGCTTTGTCTCATACTCCATAAGCCACCTCTCAAAATGGTATCATCACTAAAAATATGGGGAACTTTCTATAAACTTACATAGACTACAACCTTTAAAAAAAAAAATTGATGTTAATGTTTTATGTTGCCTTTCTTCACCTAAACGATATGGTGCATCCACGCCATCCAGAAATGGAGTGTCTTGGGTCTGCTGTCCTTCCCGTCGCTTCCCTGTTACTGTGCATTTCTGTTATATACATTTGGCATTTTTTCTATCTCAAATCATAATTTTTTTTCTTTCTGACATATCCTTAAGGACTGCTCTGACAGTTACCAGTGAAATTCTTTCGTTCTCTATAAAAATTTGAACATCAACTCTGGTAGAGCACAGTGGCTCATGCCTGTAATCCCAACACTTGGGGAGACTGCGGTGGGAGGATTGCTCGAGACCAGAAGTTTGAGACCAGCTGGGCAACAAAGCAAGACCTGGTTCCTACAAAAAAAATACAAATTAGCCAGATATGGTGGTGCAAACCTGTAGTCCCAGCCACTTGGAAGGCTGAGGCGGGAAGATGGCTTGAGCCCAGGATTTCAAGTCTGCAGTGAGCCAGGATCACGCCACTGCACTCTGGCCTGAGTGACAGAGTGAGACCCTCTCCCTTAAAAAATAGAAAACTAAAAGAGAAAGTCAATCCCCAACATGAGCTTCTAGCCTTTTCTAAGCTATAACCCTCCAGAACTATGTCTACATATCCAGAAGTGTGGATAATTTATTCAAAGAAGTAATTTGCTTAATACCCCCCGATATGGTTTGGCTTTGTGCCCCCACCCAAATCTCATGCTCAGTTATAATCCCCAGTGTTGGAGGTGGGCCTGGTGGGAGGTGATTGGATCATGGGGGCAGTTTCTCATGGTCTAACACCATCCCCCTTGGATAAGTTGTGAAATCTGGTTGTTTAAAAGTGTGTGGCTCTGCAACTTTCTCTTGCCCCTGCTCTTGCCACGCAAGACACCAGTTCCTGCTTTGCCTTCTGCCATGAGTAAAAGCTCCCTGAGGCCTCCTGGAAGCAGATGCTGCCTTGCTTCCTGCACGGCCTGTGGAACCGTGAGCCAACTAAACCTGTTTTCTTCATAAGTTTTCCAGTTTCAGATATTTATAGCAGTGTGAGAACAGGCCAACATACCCTCATGACCCCTTCTCCAAATCAGGTGACTGGTTTATCAATTTACTAAGCTTTTTTTTTTTGAGATGGAGTCTCACTCTGTCACTCAGGCTGGAGTACAGTGGCATGATCTTGGCTCACTGTAAGCTTTGCCTCCCGGGTTCAAGTGATTCTCCTGCCTCAGCCTCCTGAGTAGCTGGGACTACAGGCGCCCGCCACCACACCCAGCTAATTTTTGTGTTTTTAGTAGAGACGGGGTTTCGCCATGTTGGCCAGGCTAGTGGTCTTGAACTCCTGACCTCAGGTGATCCGCCTGCCTCAGCCTCCCAAAGTGCTGGGATTACAGGTGTGGGCCACTGCACCCGGCCTTAGACTAATTTTTCTAGCATGTTGAGAAGGCCCTGAGTGAAGAGGACTGGGAGGAGGGGATACAGGGAGCAATCAGGAGTGGGAAGTGAAATAACCTCTTTAGCCAGCAAAAGTAATGGAAAGCACTTAGAGTGGTGATTGCAACCCCTAGAACCCCAGAACGCAGAGAATTGGGAACACTGGGATCTGTTCAACCTGTCTGCCCTCCAAGCACTGACTCCTTGGTACTTGCTTTCTCTGTGCTGCTGGGGCCCCCTGTGGTCTGCTTTTCTATCACACAGGGAGGAAGAAAGGACGTCAGGGCCTGCGTATGTGTACCACACATATTCTATGAATTCTACACCATGTAGAATAGTCTCTTTACTCTCTAATTCTCTGACTACATCTACCCAAAAGTACCCAGTCATATTGATAAGTTTCTTAGTTAATTGACTCTAAGTCTGATTTTTTTTCTGACATTGCTTGGCTATTTCTGTATATTTATTTTCTTTAAAAAATTCAGCATTGCGATGTCATTTTTGCCTTTATAAGAGCATTGAAAACATAGTTACATATACATACCTAAGTCATGATACTTGCTCAATTTCCTTATCAGTTTTTGAAACTATAAACCTATGTATGCTAACATCTTCCTTTCAAACCAAAAAGTAAAAATAAGGCTGGGCGCAGTGGCTCACACCTGTAATCCCAGCACTTTGGGAGGCCAACGGGCGTGGATCACCTGAGGTCAGGGGTTCAAGACCAGCCTGGCCAACATGGTAAAACCTCATCTCTACTAAAAATACAAAAATTAGCCAGGCGTGATGGCGGGTGCCTATAATCCCAGGTACTAGGGAGGCTGAGGCAGGAGAATTGCTTGAACCTGGGGGGATGGAGGTTGCAAGTCACAGTGAGCAGAGATTGCACCACTTCACTCCAGCCTGGGCAAAAGAGCAAAACTCCGTCTCAAAATAAATAAATAAATAAAAATAGAACAGGCCATGCTGTAGCTCCTTAATGTAATAATACACTTTATGTGATTTTTTTCACTATGTAGGACAATGGGTTCTTTCTCTTTCATACACAAAAATATTAGTAAAAAGAAGATGTCAAAATATTTTGGCCCTATTTTCAGCAGATAAAACGAGAGAGAAAAAACAAAATGCATGATTCTGTTCTAGGTAGCATGGGACCAATTATGCCTCAGCTGTTTTCTTAGCCGTATAATGATTGTTGGGAACAGGGGAGGGGAGCAAATGGCTCATTGGTATTTATGGTTTTAGAACAGCAATGAATTGAGTCCCCTAATTTTACTTATGTGAGGTAGTAAATTCTTTTTATATCAAGGGACAAATTCTCATGGTGCTCATTTTCTCTCTGGACCTGACGGGAGATTGGGCAATTTGATGTGGTGCGCGCCTCTGCCTCAGTGGATGTGCTGGTGATCCCTGTGGGTCTGAAGTTTCCCCAGCGCTTTGGGCTGCTGATGAACCCAGGCTGCCATCAGGGTCCGTCTCCAGTCTTCCCTCAGCGGAGCTGCAACACTGCGTAATTGCAAGAAACCCCTGTTCACCAATACTGTGGGCCATTGCATTTATAAGGAATGGGCCAAGCCTGAGAGAGGCACTTGGATTTCCTTACGCCTGGCTACAGCACCTGTGTGCGCCCAAGAGGGTAGAAGGCATTTCGTGACCTGGCTGAGGCCCTCTCGCTATGTCTGTGTTCCTGCATTCTTTCAGTGTTGCCTAGCAGCATGCAAGTGAAAATGGTGAGCAGGTTTCTGGATTGAGGAACTCAGCTCAGAGGTCTGCACGTCTAGGTTGGTTTGTTAAATGAATAAGTCATAGGGAGTGCCTCAAGGGTTAAAAAAATCTGAAGAACATACTCCTTGCTCTTAGAACATTTATAAATTATGACAGGCCGGGCGTGGCGGCTCACGACTGTAATCCCAGCACTTTGGGAGGCCGAGGCGGGCGGATCACGAGGTCAGGAGATCGAGACCATCCTGGCTAACACGGTGAAACCCCGTCTCTACTAAAAATACAAAAAAATTAGCCGGGCATGGTGGTGGGCGCCTGTAGTCCCAGCTACTTGGGAGGCTGAGGCAGGAGAATGGCGTGAACCCGGGAGGCAGAGCTTGCAGTGAGCCGAGATCGCGCCCCTGCACTCCAGCCTGGGCGACAGAGCGAAACTCAGTCTCAAAAAAAAAAAAAAAATTATGACAGACACACCAACACACAAAGACATACACAGACAGCACTTATATCACAAGTCGTTTAATTATAACAAAGCACTACATCTACCAATGCAAAATTATTATTATTACTATTATTATTATTATTATGTTTGAGACAGTGTTTCGCTCTGTCTCCCGGGCTGGTGTACAATGGGGTGGTCTCGGCTCACTATAACCTCCGCCTCTCGGGTGCTAGTGATTCTCCTGCCTCAGCCTCCCGAGTAGCTGGGATTACAGGCATACGCCACCACGCACGACTAATTTCTTTTTTTTTTGTATTTTTAGTAGAGATGGGGTTTTCCATGTTGGTCAGGCTGACCTCGAACTCCCAACCTCAGGTGATCCACCTGCCTCAGCCTCCCAAAGTGCTGGGATTACAGGCGTGAGCCACCGTGCCCGTTCTAATGAGAGTCTTCTTTAACCTCCACTTCACTTTCTAAAAGTGAGTCTCTTTTTGGCGGGGGTCGGGGAGGACAGGGTCTCACTCTGTCGCCCAGGCTGAGGTGCCAGTGGCATGATCACAGCTCACTGCAGCCTCGACCTCCTGGGCCCATTGACCCCCGTACCTCAGTCTCTTGAGTAGCTGGGACCACACCTTTGTGCGACCGTGCCGGGCTAAGGTTTAATTTTGACTTTTGTACAGATGGTGTCTCCCCATGTTGCCCAAGCTAGAAATGAGCCTTTTCAACAATTTCAAACCGTACGTCCAGATATCAGTTCTGTTTGAATACAAATACAGTCATGCGTTGCTTAACGATGGGGATGTGTTCTGAGAAAGGCGTCGTTAGGTGATGTTGTCGTTGTGTGAGCATCACAGCATGTACTTACACAAACCCAGATGGTGTATCCTACCACAATCCTGGGCCATAAGTGTCTGGGATAGCTTGTCACTCCTAGGCTACAGACGAGTACAGCATGGTACTGTAGTGAATACTGAAGACAGCTGTCACTCCGTGGTAAGTATATGTGTATCTAAATATAGAAAAGGCACAGTAAAAATACTGTATAAAATACAGAAAATGGTAACCTGTCTAGGGCATTTACCATGAATGGAGCTTGCAGGACTGGAAGTTGCTCTGGGTGAGTCAGTGAGTGGGTGGTGACTGAATGTGAAGAGCCAGGACAGTCGTGTACATGACTACAGACTTTATCAACTTTGTACACTTAGTCTATATTAAATGCATTAAAAAGTATTTTTCTTTCTTCAATTAGAAACTATCCTTAGTTTATGGAAACATTTTTACATTGTAAACCTTTTACTTTTTATTAACTTTGTGACTTTTTTTGTAATAGCACTTAGCTTAAAACACACATTGTAAAACTGTATTAAATACTTCCTTTTTATTCTTATTCTACAAGTTATATTCTATTTTTTTTTTTTTTTCACTTTTCAAACTTTTTCATTGCAAACTAAGACACAAGCAAACACATTAGCCTGGGTGTCCACTGAGACAGAATGATCAGTACCACTGTCTTCCACCTCTACACCTTGTCCCACTGGAAGGATTTCCGGGGCAGCCACATGCATGGAGCTGTCACCTCCTATGATCACAATGCCTTCTACGATACTGCCTGAAGGACCTGCCTCAGACTCCTCTTGAGGAGGTGAAACCACCACAGATGTAATTTGTTGTTGACCAAAATGTGTTGTTCTGCAACATGTGCCTGTATACATATATACGTACCGTGTGTATTTGTGTTTGTATAGTGAGAGTTTGTGAACAAAAAATGGAGTCACACTACATATAATCTCACTATACATTATATTTAGCTTTCTTTCTTTTTTTTTTTGTTTTTTGAGATGGAGTCTCGCTCCGTCACCAGGCTGGAGTGCAGTGGTGCGATCTTGCCTCACTGCAACCTCCGCCTCCCGGGTTCAAGCGATTCTCCTGCCTCAGCCTCCTAAGTAGCTGGGGTTACAAGCATGTGCCACCATGCCTGGCTAATTTTTGTATATTTTAGTAGAGATGGGGTTTCACCATCCTGGCCAGGCTGGTCTCGAACTCCTGACCTCGTGATCCACCCTCCTCAGCCTCCCAAAGTGCTGGGATTACAGGCGTGAGGCACCGCACCCAGTATAGTTAGCTTTCTACTTGTTTGATATTAATATCTTTTTTTTGGACAAAATTCTGGGTAATGTCATTCCAATTTAGTGATTGTTTCCAGTCGTCTATTAAATCATGTCTATCACTTTAACATACCTTGTTTCCCAGTATTATCTATTTCAGTAGATGCTATAATGAAGTTTTTGAGAGTATGTGTTTACTGATTGAGGGTTAATAAATGCAAAGCAGATTCCTAGATGTGGAATTAACAGGGCAATGAGAAAAGCATGTCATTTAACATTTTATGAAAGACAGATATTTCTTTTGTTAAAATAATATGTACTATGTCAAGGTATATGTGTATTTAAATAGTCATTTTTTTAAGATCTCTCCAAAGATACTATTTCAATTTTGACTCTTATCAAGAGTTCATGAGGCCAGGCATGATGGCTCATACCTGTAATCCTGGCACTTTGGGAGTCCAAGATGGGTGGATCGCTTGAGATCAGGAGTTCAAGACCAGCCTGGGCAACATGGCAAAACCCCATCTCAACTAAATATACAAAAATTAGCTGGGTGTGGTGGCACATGCCTGTAATCTCAGCTACTTGGGAGGCTGAGGCAGGAGAACCTGGGAGGATGAGGCTGCAGTGAGCCCAGATCACACCACTGCACTCCAGCCTGAGTGATACAGTGAGACTCTGTCTCAAAAAAAAAAAAAAAAGTTTATGAGATTGGACTTATTTCCCACATTTTTTCAAGCTCTGGATATTACCACACTTTTCACTATTTACCTATCTGGAAAAGCAAATATCTTTATATTTAAATTTTTATAACCTCAATCATCAGTGAAAACATTTCTAATGTTTATATCACTTGCTTGTAAATCATGCATTTTCCTGTGAACTGTTTCTTCAAGTCATTACATATTTTTCTTTTACTACAGGTTTTTCTTGCCACTTTTTTGAGAAAAAAATTAAGTAAGGTAGCCTTCAGTTGTCTTGTTGAATTTTTCTACTATTGTTATTATTTTTTAGACTTTGCTAGTAGTGTTTCTTTTTGTTTTGTTTTGTTTTGTTTTTGAGACAGAGTCTTACTCTGTCACCCAAGCTGGAGTGCAGTGACACGATCTCGGCTCACTGCAACCTCCGCCTCCCGGGTTCACGCTATTCTTCTGCCTCAACCTCCCGAGTAGCTGGGATTACAGGTGTGCACCACCACACCTATGTAATTTTTGTATGTTTAGTAGAGAAGGGCTTTCACTGTGTTGGCCAGGCTAGTTGTGAACTCCTGACCTCAGGTGATCCACCCACCTTGGCCTCCCAAAGGGCTGGGATTACAGGCATGAGCCACCGCACCTGGCCAAAAGTGTTTCTTAGAGTGTAAATTTTTCTAAATAGGTAATACAATTTATCTATGTTTTGCTTTTTAACTTTCGAGAATTGCAACTTGGCTTATGATGTATACTTATTCAAGATAATTGGGAAAAAAAGGAAAAATAACTGTCATGCTTTCTGATTGTAGTTGTATTTTTTAAATGTTTAAATATATAATTTGTAATTTTATATTTTTGGTGTAGGTAATAAAGAAGCGACCCACACTCCCTTCCTCCCACAAATGCCTTGTCAGTTATCATGATGTAGTTATTGTATTTTGAAAGCTTGATTAGATATAAGATAGTTTCTCTTCAGTAGGCTTTTTTTCTTCTGGATTTCTCTGGCTAGACTTATGGGCTTGTGTTTCTGTTCTGTGTTTGCATGACACTTCACCTTTTTTTGTAACATATGTAGAAACCTTGACACTCACTGAACTTGTATATGTTTTATATATTTATATTTCACATTAAAAACTCTCAAAGCATAGCTGTAAACTAAGTAAGGTAGGTTTGATTATTACCATTTTAGATGAGAAAACTGTGAAAAGACAAATGAGCTTGCTGACATCTTGTAATTTAGTCTTGTTGGCATAGGGATAATGCAGAGTAGTTTGGAGCTGTAGCCCAAAATGTATGCATGTATTTATTTATTTATATATTTATTTATTTTTTAACAAAGAAAAAATGTATTTATTGAGCATTCACTACAAAAACTAGTTTTTCTGTAGGCAGAGATCTTAATGATTTTTTTTAATTAATTTATTTATTTTTTCTTTTTTTATTTATTTTTTAATTATACTTTAAGTTTTAGGGTACATGTGCACATTGTGCAGGTTAGTTACATATGTATACATGTGCCATGCTGGTGCGCTGCACCCACTAACTCGTCATCTAGCATTAGGTATATCTCCCAATGCTATCCCTCCTCCCTCCCCCCTCCCCACCACAGTCCCCAGAGTGTGATATTCCCCTTCCTGTGTCCATGTGATCTCATTGTTCAATTCCCATCTATGAGTGAGAATATGTGGTGTTTGGTTTTTTGTTCTTGCGATAGTTTACTGAGAATGATGGTTTCCAATTTCATCCATGTCCCTACAAAGGACATGAACTCATCATTTTTTATGGCTGCATAGTATTCCATGGTGTATATGTGCCACATTTTCTTAATCCAGTCTATCATTGTTGGACATTTGGGTTAGTTCCAAGTCTTTGCTATTGTGAATAATGCCGCAATAAACATACGTGTGCATGTGTCTTTATAGAAGCATGATTTATAGTCCTTTGTGTATATACCCAGTAATGGGATGGCTGGGTCAAATGGTATTTCTAGTTCTAGATCCCTGAGGAATCGCCACACTGACTTCCACAATGGTTGAACTAGTTTACAGTCCCACCAACAGTGTAAAAGTGTTCCTATTTCTCCACATCCTCTCCAGCACCTGTTGTTTCCTGACTTTTTAATGATTGCCATTCTAACTGGTGTGAGATGATATCTCATAGTGGTTTTGATTTGCATTTCTCTGATGGCCAGTGATGATGAGCATTTTTTCATGTGTTTTTTGGCTGCATAAATGTTTTCTTTTGAGAAGTGTCTGTTCATGTCCTTCGCCCACTTTTTGATGGGGTTGTTTTTTTCTTGTAAATTTGTTTGAGTTCATTGTAGATTCTGGATATTAGCCCTTTGTCAGATGAGTAGGTTGCAAAAATTTTCTCCCATGTTGTAGGTTGCCTGTTCACTCTGATGGTAGTTTCTTTTGCTGTGCAGAAGCTCTTTAGTTTAATTAGATCCCATTTGTCAATTTTGGCTTTTGTTGCCATTGCTTTTGGTGTTTTGGACATGAAGTCCTTGCCCACGCCTATGTCCTGAATGGTAATGCCTAGGTTTTCTTCTAGGGTTTTTATGGTTTTAGGTCTAACGTTTAAATCTTTAATCCATCTTGAATTGATTTTTGTATAAGGTGTAAGGAAAGGATCCAGTTTCAGCTTTCTACATATGGCTAGCCAGTTTTCCCAGCACCATTTATTAAAAAGGGAATCCTTTCCCCATTCCTTGTTTTTCTCAGGTTTGTCAAAGATCAGATAGTTGTAGGTAAGCGGCGTTATTTCTGAGGGCTCTGTTCTGTTCCGTTGATCTATATCTCTGTTTTGGTACCAGTACCATGCTGTTTTGGTTACTGTAGCCTTGTAGTATAGTTTGAAGTCAGGTAGTGTGATGCCTCCAGCTTTGTTCTTTTGGCTTAGGATTGACTTGGCGATGCAGGCTCTTTTTTGGTTCCATATGAACTTTAAAGTAGTTTTTTCCAATTCTGTGAAGAAAGTCATTGGTAGCTTGATGGGGATGGCATTGAATCTGTAAATTACCTTGGGCAGTATGGCCATTTTCACGATATTGATTCTTCCTACCCATGAGCATGGAATGTTCTTCCATTTGTTTGTATCCTCTTTTATTTCCTTGAGTAGTGGTTTGTAGTTCTCCTTGAAGAGGTCCTTCACATCCCTTGTAAGTTGGATTCCTAGGTATTTTATTCTCTTTGAAGCAATTGTGAATGGGAGTTCACTCATGATTTGGCTCTCTGTTTGTCTGTTGTTGGTGTATAGGAATGCTTGTGATTTTTGTACATTGATTTTGTATCCTGAGACTTTGCTGAAGTTGCTTATCAGCTTAAGGAGATTTTGGGCTGAGACAATGGGGTTTTCTAGATAAACAATCATGTCGTCTGCAAACAGGGACAATTTGACTTCCTCTTTTCCTAATTGAATACCCTTTATTTCCTTCTCCTGCCTAATTGCCCTGGCCAGAACTTCCAACACTATGTTGAATAGGAGTGGTGATAGAGGGCATCCCTGTCTTGTGCCAGTTTTCAAAGGGAATGCTTCCAGTTTTTGCCCATTCAGTATGATATTGGCTGTGGCTTTGTCATAGATAGCTCTTATTATTTTGAGATACGTCCCATCAATACCTAATTTATTGAGAGTTTTTAGCATGAAGGGTTGTTGAATTTTGTCAAAGGCCTTTTCTGCATCTATTGAGATAATCATGTGGTTTTTGTCTTTGGCTCTGTTTATATGCTCGATTACATTTATTGATTTGCGTATATTGAACCAGCCTTGCATCCCAGGGATGAAGCCCACTTGATCATGGTGGATAAGCTTTTTAATGTGCTGCTGGATTCAGTTTGCCAGTATTTTATTGAGGATTTTTGCATCAATGTTCATCAAGGATATTGGTCTAAAATTCTCTTTTTTGGTTGTGTCTCTGCCTGGCTTTGGTATCAGAATGATGCTGGCCTCATACAATGAGTTAGGGAGGATTCCCTCTTTTTCTATTGATTGGATTAGTTTCAGAAGGAATGGTACCAGTTCCTCCTTGTACCTCTGGTAGAATTCAGCTGTGAATCCATCTGGTCCTGGACTCTTTTTGGTTGGTAAACTATTGATTATTGCCACAATTTCAGCTCCTGTTATTGGTCTATTCAGAGATTCAACTTCTTCCTGGTTTAGTCTTGGGAGAGTGTATGTGTCGAGGAATTTATCCATTTCTTCTAGATTTTCTAGTTTATTTGCGTAGAGGTGTTTGTAGTATTCTCTGATGGTAGTTTGTATTTCTGTGGGATCGGTGGTGATATCCCATTTATCATTTTTTATTGTGTCTATTTGATTCTTCTCTCTTTTTTTCTTTATTAGTCTTGCTAGCGGTCTATCAATTTTGTTGATCCTTTCAAAAAACCAGCTCCTGGATTCATTGATTTTTTGAAGGGTTTTTTGTGTCTGTATTTCCTTCAGTTCTGCTCTGATTTTAGTTATTTCTTGCCTTCTGCTAGCTTTTGAATGTGTTTGCTGTTGCTTTTCTAGTTCTTTTAATTGTGATGTTAGGGTGTCAATTTTGGATCTTTCCTGCTTTCTCTTGTGGGCATTTAGTGCTATAAATTTCCCTCTACACACTGCTTTGAATGCGTCCCAGAGATTCTGGTATGTTGTGTCATTGTTCTTGTTGGTTTCAAAGAACATCTTTATTTCTGCCTTCTTTTTGTTATGTACCCAGTAGTCATTCAGGAGCAGGTTGTTCAGTTTCCATGTAGTTGAGCGGCTTTGAGTGAGATTCTTAATCCTGAGTTCTAGTTTGATTGCACTGTGGTCTGAGAGATAGTTTGTTACAATTTCTGTTCTTTTACATTTGCTGAGGAGAGCTTTACTTCCAACTATGTGGTCAATTTTGGAATAGGTGTGGTGTGGTGCTGAAAAAAATGTATATTCTGTTGATTTGGGGTGGAGAGTTCTGTAGATGTCTATTAGGTCCGCTTGGTGCAGAGCTGTGTTCAATTCCTGGGTATCCTTGTTGACTTTCTGTCTCGTTGATCTGTCTAATGTTGACAGTAGGGTGTTAAAGTCTCCCATTATTAATGTGTGGGAGTCTAAGTCTCTTTGTAGGTCACTCAGGACTTGCTTTATGAATCTGGGTGCTCCTGTATTGGGTGCATATATATTTAGGATAGTTAGCTCCTCTTGTTGAATTGATCCTTTACCATTATGTAATGGCCTTCTTTGTCTCTTTTGATCTTTGTTGGTTTAAAGTCTGTTTTATCAGAGACTAGGATTGCAACCCCTGCCTTTTTTTGTTTTCCATTTGCTTGGTAGATCTTCCTCCATCCTTTTATTTTGAGCCTATGTGTGTCTCTGCACGTGAGATGGGTTTCCTGAATACAGCACACTGATGGGTCTTGACTTTTTATCCAACTTGCCAGTCTGTGTCTTTTAATTGGAGAATTTAGTCCATTTACATTTAAGGTTAATATTGTAATGTGTGAATTTGATCCTGTCATTATGATGTTAGCTGGTGATTTTGCTCGTTAGTTGATGCAGTTTCTTCCTAGTCTCAATGGTCTTTACATTTTGGCATGATTTTGCAGCGGCTGGTACCGGTTGTTCCTTTCCATGTTTAGCACTTCCTTCAGGAGCTCTTTTGGGGCAGGCCTGGTGGTGACAAAATCTCTCAGCGTTTGCTTGTCTGTAAAGTATTTTATTTCTCCTTCACTTATGAAGCTTAGTTTGGCTGGATATGAAATTCTGGGTTGAAAATTCTTTTCTTTAAGAATGTTGAATATTGGCCCCCACTCTCTTCTGGCTTGTAGGGTTTCTGCCAAGAGATCCGCTGTTAGTCTGATGGGCTTCCCTTTGAGGGTAACCCGACCTTTCTCTCTGGCTGCCCTTAACATTTTTTCCTTCATTTCAACTTTGGTGAATCTGACAATTATGTGTCTTGGAGTTGCTCTTCTCAAGGAGTATCTTTGTGGCGTTCTCTGTATTTCCTGAATCTGAACGTTGGCCTGCCTTGCTATATTGGGGAAGTTCTCCTGGATAATATCCTGCAGACTGTTTTCCAACTTGATTCCATTCTCCGCATCACTTTCAGGTACACCAATCAGACGTAGATTTGGTCTTTTCACATAGTCCCATATTTCTTGGAGGCTTTGCTCATTTCTTTTTATTCTTTTTTCTCTAAACTTCCCTTCTCGCTTCATTTCATTTATTTCATCTTCCATTGCTGATACCCTTTCTTCCAGTTGATCGCATCGGCACCTGAGGCTTCTGCATTCTTCATGTAGTTCTCGAGCCTTGGTTTTCAGCTCCTTCAGCTCCTTTAAGCACTTCTCTGTATTGGTTATTCTAGTTATACATTCTTCTAAATTTTTTTCAAAGTTTTCAACTTCTTTGCCTTTGGTTTGAATGTCCTCCCGTAGCTCAGAGTAATTTGATCGTCTGAAGCCTTCTTCTCTCAGCTCGTCAAAATCAATCTCCATCCAGCTTTGTTCTGTTGCTGGTGAGGAACTGCGTTCCTTTGGAGGAGGAGAGGCGCTCTGCGTTTTAGAGTTTCCAGTTTTTCTGTTCTGTTTTTTCCCCATCTTTGTGGTTTTATCTACTTTTGGTCTTTGATGATGGTGATGTACAGATGGGTTTTTGGTGTGGATGTCCTTTCTGTTTGTTAGTTTTCCTTCTAACAGACAGGACCCTCAGCTGCAGGTCTGTTGGAATACCCTGCCGTGTGAGGTGTCAGTGTGCCCCTGCTGGGGGGTGCCTCCCAGTTAGGCTGCTCGGGGGTCAGGGGTCAGGGACCCACTTGAGGAGGCAGTCTGCCCGTTCTCAGATCTCCAGCTGCATGCTGGGAGAACCACTGCTCTCTTCAAAGCTGTCAGACAGGGACATTTAAGTCTGCAGAGGTTACTGCTGTCTTTTTGTTTGTCTGTGCCCTGCCCCCAGAGGTGGAGCCTACAGAGGCAGGCAGGCCTCCTTGAGCTGTGGTGGGCTCCACCCAGTTCGAGCTTCCAGGCTGCTTTGTTTACCTAAGCAAGCCTGGGCAATGGCGGGCGCCCCTCCCCCAGCCTCGCTGCTGCCTTGCAGTTTGATCTCAGACTGCTGTGCTAGCAATCAGCGAGATTGCATGGGCGTAGGACCCTCCGAGCCAGGTGTGGGATATAGTCTCGTGGTGCGCCGTTTTTTAAGCCGGTCTGAAAAGCGCAATATTCGGGTGGGAGTGACCTGATTTTCCAGGTGCGTCCGTCACCCCTTTCTTTGACTGGGAAAGGGAACTCCCTGACCCCTTGCGCTTCCCAGGTGAGGCAATGCCTCGCCCTGCTTCGGCTTGTGCACGGTGCGCGCACCCACTGGCCTGCGCCCACTGTCTGGCACTCCCTAGTGAGATGAACCCGGTACCTCAGATGGAAATGCAGAAATCACCTGTCTTCTGCGTCGCTCACGCTGGGAGCTGTAGACCGGAGCTGTTCCTATTCGGCCATCTTCGCATGTATTTATTTTTATTTGTCTTAGTTTGGGAGTACTGTTTTGTTACCTCCACGTATGGATTTATATTAATTTGCGAGTACTGCTTTTTACCTGCACATACATGCTTATATCTATTTATATTAATTTGGGAGTACTGCTTTTTACCTGCACATACATACTTATATCTATTTATATTAATTTGGGAGTACTGCTTTTTACCTGCACATACATACTTATATCTATTTATATTAATTTGGGAGTACTGCTTTTTACCTGCACATACATGCTTATATCTATTTATATTAATTTGGGGGTACTGCTTTTTAGCTGCATGTATTGCACAGTGGCGAAGTCTTGGCTTTTAATGCATCCATCACCCAAACACCAGGATGGACCAAGTCTCCCTATATCCATCTGTAAGACTTGTGGTTTGTCTTATCAAATATGCTTTGCTTTGAATGTGATGTGGTATTAGAGTTGGAACGTGATAGAGGTTTCTGTACATATGCGTGAATTTTGCATTACAGTTGTAATATCTGTTACAAAGTTTTTTCAATCTCTTTTATCCTCTCAAGCAGTATATAGTACTTTGGAAGAAAAACCCATACACTCTATTTGTTCAATACCAGGCCCATTTAAAAGACAGAGAGAAAAAAAGAGATTTTATGTGTATTTTGCCTGTCTCTTACATTATTTATCTACTGAGGTAATTTTAAAATTAAATTAAATTAAATTCTGAGGTAATTTAAAAATTACCTCAGTAATGGTAACCCAATGAATGAGGTGTGTCTTTGAGACCAGTAATAGATAAAGTACTCTGTGTGTAAAGAGTATTTCCTAAATACTATTGATGGATTATTTTGAGGCTCCATTTTGAGTCCTTGAGGTTTTTGGCAGGAGCCTAGGGACTGGAGTCTCTAGAAAAATTCGTGGTTTGGCCACAGCAGGATTTGCCTTCACTTCACTGGATTTGGAGGCAGTGCTACTGGTGGTTTAGATTGCACACTCTCAGCTACATTGCCGGGGTTCAGAATCAGCTCTGTGTCTTCCTACATATCACAGTTTGCTCAACACACATGTGTTTCAGTTTCCTTTTCTATAAGTTGGGAGCTAATAATAATAGTGCAACTCCATATAACTGTTGGGGTTGAATGAATAAAATAAATATAAAAAGCATAGAAGAATGCTTAGCTTCTAGTAAGTTCTCCCTTAATATCAGCTGTTATTATTATTATTAGGATTGATATTTCTGTTCAGCAGCAGTAGAGATGGATGGAACCAATGGCAGCACCCAAACCCATTTCATCCTACTGGGATTCTCTGACCGACCCCATCTGGAGAGGATCCTCTTTGTGGTCATCCTGATCGCGTACCTCCTGACCCTCGTAGGCAACACCACCATCATCCTGGTGTCCCGGCTGGACCCCCACCTCCACACCCCCATGTACTTCTTCCTCGCCCACCTTTCCTTCCTGGACCTCAGTTTCACCACCAGCTCCATCCCCCAGCTGCTCTACAACCTTAATGGATGTGACAAGACCATCAGCTACATGGGCTGTGCCATCCAGCTCTTCCTGTTCCTGGGTCTGGGTGGTGTGGAGTGCCTGCTTCTGGCTGTCATGGCCTATGACCGGTGTGTGGCTATCTGCAAGCCCCTGCACTACATGGTGATCATGAACCCCAGGCTCTGCCGGGGCTTGGTGTCAGTGACCTGGGGCTGTGGGGTGGCCAACTCCTTGGCCATGTCTCCTGTGACCCTGCGCTTACCCCGCTGTGGGCACCACGAGGTGGACCACTTCCTGCGTGAGATGCCCGCCCTGATCCGGATGGCCTGCGTCAGCACTGTGGCCATCGAAGGCACCGTCTTTGTCCTGGCGGTGGGTGTTGTGCTGTCCCCCTTGGTGTTTATCCTGCTCTCTTACAGCTACATTGTGAGGGCTGTGTTACAAATTCGGTCAGCATCAGGAAGGCAGAAGGCCTTCGGCACCTGCGGCTCCCATCTCACTGTGGTCTCCCTTTTCTATGGAAACATCATCTACATGTACATGCAGCCAGGAGCCAGTTCTTCCCAGGACCAGGGCATGTTCCTCATGCTCTTCTACAACATTGTCACCCCCCTCCTCAATCCTCTCATCTACACCCTCAGAAACAGAGAGGTGAAGGGGGCACTGGGAAGGTTGCTTCTGGGGAAGAGAGAGCTAGGAAAGGAGTAAAGGCATCTCCACCTGACTTCACTTCCATCCAGGGCCACTGGCAGCATCTGGAACGGCTGAATTCCAGCTGATATTAGCCCACGACTCCCAACTTGCCTTTTTCTGGACTTTTGTGAGGCTGTTTCAGTTCTGACATTATGTGTTTTTGTTGTTGCTCTTAAAATTGAGACGGGGTCTCACTCTGTCACCTAGGGTAGAGTGCAGTGGTGCCACCATAGCTCCTTCGACTATTGGGCTTAAGCGATCCTCCCCCACCTCAGCCTTCCAAGTAACTGGGACTACAGGTGTGCATCACTGGCAGTGGGAATTGTGGCTTGTGGCTTTTCTGTCTTCTATGGAGACGGGGTCTTGCTGTGTTGACCAGGCTGGTCCCAAACTCCTGGCCTCATGTGATCCCCCTGCCATGGCCTCCTAAAAGTTCTGGGATTACAAGTGTGAGTCACTGCGACTGGCCAACATTATGTGATTTATGTGTGAACTATATAACACAAATCATCCCCAAAACCCATCATGATCTGTAAAGCAGCTGCAAAGAATGAAGTGAGACAAACAGTTGTAAAGATGAGTTTCCACCTACTTATACCAGAGTGCTAAGAGGAAATAACTCTTCTCAATCAGAGCTTTGCTTTGTTTGTTGTTGTTTGCTTTAAAGTCTAACACACCTGACATGTTTCAGTCAGAATGACCCCAAATGCATCACTGTTCTCCACGTGGTCCAAGTGCCTCTCTGTTTAGGGCCATCAAATCATGGAATGCAGCACAGTTTTATATTTTCTATATTCCCAATTCCTACCCAAACCTTTTCATGAAATCGTAGAGTTTGTTTTACCCTTTATCTGGTGTAAGATTCTGCATAAACCAAGAAGTGAACCTGTAAGTTATGATGCATGGGTTGTTTAAATCTTAAAGCATCATTCTTTCTCAGGCATGTTTTTTTCATTATTAGTAAGAAGAACCTGACATTGGTTTAGTCCCTTCTGTGTACCAGACGCTCCTAAGTCATGCAACCTCAGTATTTGTATGAGGTCAGCATGATTATCATTATTCCCATTTTATCTCCCTGGTCCTTGAGATCTGAAGGTTAAATCTTTTGCTCGAGGGGAACTGAACCAGGGTTTTTTCCAAGTTCTGTCAGACTCCCGATTCATATGGTTTCTATTGCATCATGAAATTTCAAAGAGCAAAAATCCTTAAGCATTTGGCACACAATGTCAAAGACCCTTTGGGGCTAAGGGGCATGACTGGCTACTGTTCCTTACACATTGCAGTCCTCAATGTGTCCCACTAACGTGCCCTCCAGTTATCTGAGGTCTTGTTCCAATGCAATTCCAATTCAGCTGGTGATAAGAGGGGTCTGAGTTTCTGCGACTCTGCAAACCTCCCAGGTGATGTCCCTACTTTGGGGACTCGGACTACATTTTAAGAACCCAGGAAGTATATCACCCCCTGCTCTTGTTCCGGGCATTTGGAGGGTGGACACATTCTGGAAAAAGTTGGGAGAGTGTTCATAGACCAAGGGCGAACACAAGGTGAGAGGGAGTGGTGTGAAAGGCCAGCTGAGGGGTGGTCCTCATTCCTCTGCCGTTGCTCCTGTGCTCGGCTCCCTCCTCCTCCACAAGTGTATTTCTGCGCTCTTTTGTATCCTCCTCACCTCCACACCTCACATCTAAAGTCACCAGCCCCAGGGCATTGTGTAAGTGTAAACAAACCAGAGCCCCAGAGAGGGGGATTCCTGTGCTTCCAGAGCACCCCCTCTGACTATTCAAGGATGCTGTTTGTAAGAAGTACTGATGTGGATGTGTAGTAGGAAGAGCCGCAGACAAAACTCCTCAGACACCGAGTTAGAGAAGGAAGGGGTTTATTCGACCAGGGGCATCGGCAAGACTCCTGTCTCAAGAGCCGAGCTCCCCAAGTGAGCAATTCCCGTCCCTTTTAAGGGCTCACAACTCTAAGGGGGTGCGCGTGAGAGGGTCGTGATCGATTGAGCAAGTAGGGGGTACGTGACTGGGGGCTGGTAATTAGATCGGAACAAAACAGGACAGGGATTTTCACAGTGCTTTTCTATACAATGTCTGTAATCTATAGATAACATAACCGATTATGTCAGGGGTCAATCTTTAACTACCAGGCCCAGGGTGTGGTGCTGGGCTGTCTGCTTGTGGATTTGATATTTGCCTTTTAGTTTTTACTTTTTTTTTCTTTGGAGGCAGAAATTGGGCATAAGACAATATGAGGGGTGGTCTACTCCCTTATTCCCCCCTTTGAGAGTCTCACTCAATAGTGGGAGTTCTCACTTTCATTTTTACTACCCATGTCTTCTGGCAAGACAGATCAATAGTGATTCATATAGTACACTTGTGCTGAAGCTTTTGGTGAACTAAGGTAGTGATGAAGCTTTTTATCATTTGAAGAAGTACAGGTAGCAAACAAAGGAGCAGTAAGTAGGTTCCTATTACTATTATAACTCTTATTATAAGAGTTTTAAATCCTCCTAGCTCTGGGAACCATTTTCTAAACATGGCCCCAGGATCAAATCCGTCACACTTGCATGGGCACGTGTGCCAGTTTTGTCATATCTCTAACTATGTCTTCAAATACTTGCCCTTGATTATCTATGTGTAGGCAGCAATTAATAAGGTTAAATTTCCTACAGACTTCTCCTTCAGCTGCTAGCAAGTAGTCAAGAGCCAATCTGTTTTGATAGATAGCATTTCTCATCTGAGTTTCTTGCTGGGTCAGAATGGTCAAGGCTCTGCCGGTTTTATTAGTGATTATTTTTAAGACAGCTTGTAACCATATGATTTGGTTGATCATGTACATGTGGGTCCGGTATCCTCATGAGCCGTCTTGTACCTAAGTAGCAGGCCCATAATATTGCACGATTCTCTTAGGGGGCCATTTATCATTTTTTCAATTTCTTATAGCTATGCTTCTCTTTTCATGGGAAGCATAGACAGGGAAGCCCAGGAGTTTGCCTGTTTTTATGGGCGGTAGGAAGAAAGATGGTTTAATAGTGCCAATAACACAACTACCTGCCTACTGGTCAGGTAATTTGGCATAAGCTCTATGCCTACATATCCAGTATAATCCAGTGGGGGCCGTCCAGTCCTGGTGGGACTCCAGGTGGGTCCACACGATCTGCAACTTTGGGAATTTATGAAATGGATTTCTCTCTGTGTGATTTGAACTCCACCAAGTGACTGTTTTTGTGGTACCATTATACAGTTTCTGTCTCCGACAACTAAGTCATCCTACAGGGTGAGTAAATTCTTTTCCTTCCCTAGCTATGCAATATTGTCCAATAATTGAGGCGTTTAGGACCTAGAAATTATCAGGGTGATTCTTTTGAGCCGGGAATTCATCAGGAACTGGGTCTGTAGGTACTAATTCTCGGGCTTCCCATGGCCATTGATCTCCCATTACAGTTCCTCCACATACATAATGTGAAGTGACATTGAGAGACTGGGCTACATGCTTGGCTAATTGCAAAAACAAATTTCATGTTTTTCCTGGAATTTCTGGTACTGGCACATTTAGTTCATCATAGAAAGTTTGAAACGCTGGCTCAGGAGAGCGTTTGTAAACTTCTCCTCGAACCAAGATATTTACTCAAGGATCCAGTCCGGCCCCGTCAATTCCTAAGGTCACACGCTCCTCTTTTTCCCAGCGAGGTTCAAGGGGCTTGGTTATTACTAGCTCTAAGGGGTTACATTGTCCCTTAGTACAGGAAGGGCCATTTTTTCCTTTCTGAAGGTGGACTGGATCCTTCTCATTTTTTTTTTTTATCCAAGTGGCCTAAAGGACACAAGACCAGTGTTTACATTTATTTCCACACAGCCCTAATTTATGACAGATGTACTTATTTTCTGCCGTATAGCCTCTTTTCTAATTAAGAGAACCACACCTTATTCCTAACTTATTACTATTAATGACAGCACAGGCATCAAATTTTAAGGTGACTTGTTTGGGCACCCCTTTTTCTTCTGTTTTGGCTAACACTTTACTCGTATCGTTTATGAGCCCCCACCAGTCCTCAGTCCTTAATCTTATTTTAAAAACTGTGGTCATGGGAGGCTCAGATGGGTCATAACACATATCAGATTGGTCATTTCCTGGGCTACATACCTTGTATAGAATAACATTATACAAACAAGTTCTTTTTAGAGTTCCAGTACACTTATAATAACCATAAAATAATAAGACTGTAGCAACCTTTTATCCTACCTCAGCGACTTGATGTATGCACTGGGAACAGCCCCAGTCTGAGGAAGGTCAGTTGAAGTCCTTACTGTACAAGTCCAAATTTTAAGGAAAATGAGTCCCGCGATGAGTTTCCTCATGCTTCAGCCATGCGTGGACCAGTCAGCTTCCAGGTGTGACTGGAGCAGGGCTGGTCGTCTTCTTCAGAGTCACTTTGCAGGGGTTGGCGAAGCTACTCCCATCCACATACAGCTCACAGTCTACTGATGTTTAAGGATGGTCTCAGAGGTTAGGCCTGCTAGAATAAACTGAGTCCAACACCTCTATACAGTTATGTTCAGCTGGGCTCTCTGATACCGGGAGCAAGGTGGTGGGGTTTAGGGTGTTGCAAACTTCAATGGTTATGTGGGGATTTTCACATAGCGAGCTTTGGTACTTGGTTAATCTAGCCTTTGTTAACCAATGATGTCCTTCTGTATTTATTAAAGTTACCACAGCATGGGGGGCCTTTATATCCAGGTTTTGCCTAAGGGTTAGTTTATCTGCTTCTTGTGCTAACAGGGCCCTTGCTGCTAGGGCCCTTAGACCTGGGGGCCAGGCTTTGGAAGCCCTGTCTAGTTGTTTTGAGAGATAGGCCACTGGCCTTGGCCAGGGCCCCACAGTCTGGGTTAAAACTTCAACTGCCATTTTTTCTCTTTCTGACACATAGAGCGTAGAGTTTTGTCAGGTCAGGTGGCCTCAGGGCTGGGGCTGACGTGAGTTTTTCTTTTAACTCATGAAAAGCTTGTTGCTGTTGGTTGTAATAGATGTAGTTTATCTAAACTACATTTTTCTTAACTGTCACCCACCAAAATATTGACTTAAATCCTGCAGCTGTTTGATTTCAAGCTTTAAATTGATCTGCTATTCTTCGTGGGACTCCAGTTGCATTTAAATAGACACGAGAGTCGAAAGACCCGTAAGGGGCTTCTCTCGCTTTACAGTGTCTTATTTTTTTTCCTTCTGGTTGATGAAATGCCAGGGTGAAAGGGATAGCCAATTGGACTAAAGCACAAGTGCCACTCCAGTTATTCAGCAGAGTGCCCAGTAAAGGTCCACCACAATACCACCACACATCCGCTCAGGGATGAACAAGGGCTGACTGATTGATAAGCTCTCGAAAATTCTTAAGCTCACTGCATCCTTTCAGGTATCCAAGGAATGCTAAGTTTCCTCCCTGTCATGAGAGACACGAAATGAACTTAGTGTTGGAAGATGGAAGCTGGATGGCCCTCGGGGGCTGACCCTCAGGGTGCTGGACTTTGGGATATAGCAGAGAGAGCTTGGCACGTCTTGTTACTCCAGACTGTAGAATCCTGGAAAAGAGCTACCATGCAGCCCACGCCTGGTCGACTGGAGGACCACCTTAGTGGAAAGGGGACAATCTGGGCCTCTGGTCTGCCATGTGCACGAGCATAACAATTGCTTTTGTTTAACGTGCAGATGGAATATTTGATCCATTTTAACTAGGCATTTGCATCGTGGTATCCTGTCTTAATTGCTAAAGTTTGTTTTAAGTCTTTAACTTCTATAATCCTCTAGTAAAATGAATGTATGGTTTTAGGAAATTACAAAAACTGGTTGGGGCAGTCCATCCTTGCTCTTTAGTGGTCCACAGAACATTGGACCAACTATGGCAGGGAAGCTCTACATCGGGGGGCAAGACTCCTGGTTGGCACTGGGGTGTTTATCGAAATCTCCCGGGATTAAATGGTCCTAGTTTACTAACGCCCAGTCTGAGGAGAGTCAGGGGGACAGAAGTGCTTTTCTGAAGTAGAGAGCTGTCTTTGACTTGGCACGTCCCCACAGGGTATAAAAGGGCAAGCATTAAATGCAATAGTTTGAGGCAAAATTGACTTGGTTATGTTAATAACTAGAGGGTCAGCAATAGAGCGCGGAAAGAAGAAAGAGTAATAGATGAAAAGCGTTAGATTTTTCTTAGCTTTAGTTTGGTAGGGTTTTCCTCTGGGACTATGGCCCACAACTCTGTGGCGGGGGTGGCACTTTCTTGACTGGGTGTGATGAGTCCATCCTTTTTTGCTGTATGAGCAGCTGTCTTGGTGGTTAGCAGCACAAGGTAGGGTCCTTCCTAGGCTGACTCGAGTTTTTCTTCTTTCCACCTTTCGATGAGAACGTGATCTTCAGGCTGGTGCTGGTTTACTGGAAATTCTGGGGGTAGTACCTGTGCTAAAAGACTTTTAGTTTTTTTTGCGAGAAAGGAAAGTGGAAGATAAACCAAGTATATAGTTTTTAAGAGATTGACCTTTTGTTTTAAATGTGGGGACCTTGGCAGTGGACTTTATAATACTTAGTGCCTTTTTACTGAGAAATTTCCTTTAGCACCTATTTTTATTAGTTTTTAAACCAAAGAAAACCAAATACCATTTTACGTTTAACAATGCTTCTCATATGATTTTTATACTAGATAAGCTAAATTTTATCTTTATATTAGTGTGTTATTAATGTTAAACCTAATTTTAATAAAACCTAGTAGACATTTATTTAATTTTTAATGTTTGACCATAAGGTAAGATTTTATAGACTCTTTTTAACCTTCTATAATTTTTGCTAAAGAGCAGGTTGGTGCTTTAAGAAAAACTTGTTATGCTTTTACTTTAATGTCCAGTTCACAGAAAAACTGGATGATACTTCTTTAACTTTAGCTAATATGTTTACACACATAATTTTCTTTATAACTAATGTTTTAAAACTTGCTTAAACCTTCAAAACAATAATTTTTTAAACTTTTTAATGTAGGTAAAAATGTACATTCTTATGCCTCATAATCCTTTTACTAAAGGTATATTTTACTTATACACCTTGGACATAAACTGTTTTTTTTTTCAATAGTTTTACATTCAGGAGGCCTAGTTACTTTTAAATTATATAACGTTTTTTGCATAAGTTCTTTTTTTAACACACTTTTAAAAATAACCTTTTTTTTTTCTTTCATGACTTTTACAGGCAATTTTTCGACATGCCTTAACTTTCTGACTTATTACAAACATTTCTTTCTTTAAACAACCAGTTAATATATTTCAGGACAAGAATTTACCATATAACACTCTTTTTATATGAATTCCGCCCCCACCCTTTTTTTCCCCGAAGATGATAACCATTCTTTTCCAAAGCAAACCTTTTTTTATGTCTGTGAACTAGACTGTCTACGGCCACAAGAATAGAAGTTACTATCATACATGTTACACTATTAACTTTCAGCAAACTTTACTTTTGTTGAAAACCTTGTAAGTCTGGGATTTTAATTATCCTTTGCTATTAATAAGACCTTGTCTTGTCCAAATTAGAATTGGTATAGATGGCTTTTTTTTTTTTTTTTTCAATTACCCAGAAGGAACCATAGATCGTCCTGTCCTGAAGGGAGTTCCTCCTAGGTTTGGTCAGACCTTCGTATGGTAATTAAGATTTAGATCCCATTAGGAAACCTGCTGGGTTAAGGGAATTTTCAGCAGTCAATGTTAAATCGTCTTTCTTTCTTTCTCTCTTTGACTTTGTCTCTCTCTCTTTCACTTTCCTTTTGCCTCTGTCTCTTTCTCTCTCTCTCTCTGTCTCTCTCTTTCTTTCTCTTTCTCCCTCTCTCCTTGGCTCCTTCTTTGTCTGTCTCTTCCTCTCTCTCTTTTCCTCTTTTCCTCTCTGTCTCTTTCCGTTCTCTCTCTGCTGGTCTTTCCTTGCCTCTGCCAGTCGCTTATGCTGCTGTTCTCTCAACCACTGTGTGTTGGGGGCGTGGGGTCTAAAACCAGCTGTAATCAAGTGTCTATGTATGGGAACTGGTCTGGATGCCTTGGCTTACAGGTTACCTTGTGCCATACCTTTGAAACAGGGGACCTGTACAGGCTTCCTTCTAATGGCCAACCTACCTCTAATGCTGGCTAGTCTATCTTACATAAAGTTTTAAGTTTTCCTGGTGTCATAGTACTCCATAGTCTCCCTTAAATCCTTTTTTTGAAATTTTTCAACATAGTTCCTAGTGGGGTGGGCTTACTTTATGCCTCACTCATGTTTCCTCGAGACAAAATACCACGCTCACACCACATGCACACCACAAAACAAAGAACGGGTAAAAAGGGCACACACACACTTTTGTAGTTTACACCAAACCAAAATCAAAACCAAAATCAGAGTATCCAGAAATCCAAGCCAGGTCAATACCAAAACCAAAGTATCAAGCAATCCAATTCAAGTCAGAAACAAAAACCAAAGTGCCGGTACAGGCATGTCGTGGGTGATCAGGTCACGCTTCCACTCAAATGGAGTGGGCAAGTTCCCAAGACCAGTCCTGTCAAGCAATTTAAACCAAGTCAAAACCAAAATCAAAACCAAAGTGCCAGTACGGGCATGCCGTGGGTGATCAGGCCACGCTTCCACTCAAATGGAGTGGGCAAGTTCCCAAGACTAGTCTTACCAAGTTTCAGATGTCCAGACTCCAAGTACCAGTTCCTTCCTGGTGTTCAGCCACTGCGCTGATCCTCCACAGGGGCCTGCCACACACTACTCTGGCGAGGCGTCCCATTGCGCTCTCAGGATCCGTGTCGCTCGGGCTGGTCAGAGTCCCCCACAAGGATGTTCCACAGGGCAGGCTTAAGCTCCTTAGGAGCTGCCTCAACCATCTGCCAATCACCTTGCTTCCCCGTCAGGGAACCAAGAAATGTAGCAGACAAGCCGCAGAAAAAACTCCTCAGACACCGAGTTAAAGAAGGAAGGGGTTTATTCGGCTGGGGGCATGGGCAAGACTCCTGTCTCAAGAGCCGAGCTCCCCGAGTGAGCAATTTCTGTCCCTTTTAAGGGCTCACCACTCTAAGGGGGTGCGCGTGAGAGGGTCGTGATCAATTGAGCAAGCAGGGGGTACGTGACTGGGGGCTGCATGCACCGGTAACTAAATTGGAACAAAACAGGACAGGGATTTTCACAGTGCTTTTCTATGCAATGTCTGTAATCTATAGATAACATAACCGATTAGGTTAGGGGTCGATCTTTAACTACCAGACCCAGGGTGTGGCGCCGGGCTGTCTGCCTGTGGATTTCATTTCTGCCTTTTAGTTTTTACTTTTTTTTTCTTTGGAGGCAGAAATTGGGTATAAGACAATATGAGGGGTGGTCTCCTCCCTTAGATGGGTTAATGGTGAATAGAGAATGAGTTATCTGTGTGGCAGTTAGGATTTATTTCCAACAGTTATAAAACTCCCCACATCCACATATATATGTTAAAGAAAATACTTTATTTTTTTGAGATGGAGTCATGCTTTGTTGCCCAAGCTGAAGTTTCTTCTCCTTTAGCAAAATTTTCTGCTGCAATCGCTGTTTGATGAAGGCTGCTTTGGCTGCAGGTGTCCCATTCTGTACTTATTCCTCTGCTTGTTCCCCTTTCTCGAATAGTCACTACATTTTTTATTTTGTCTCATGTTTCTTTCCTTCTTTAAAAAAAAACTCTCTTGAAACTCTTATCTACTTATCTCTTTGTTGTTGTTCCCTCCCTCCCTCCCTCCCTCTTTTCCTTCCTTCCTTCCCTCCTTTCCTTGAGACGGAGTTTCACCCTGCAGTCAGGGTGGACTGTAGAGGCACAACCTTGGCTCACCGCAACCTCCACCTCCCGAGTTCAAGCGATTCTTCTGCCTCAGCCTCTCGAGTAGCTGGGATTGCAGGCATGTGCCACCACGCCCAGCTAATTTTTGTATTTTTGGTAGAGATGGGGTTTCACCATGTTGGTCAAACGCCTGACCTTAGGTGTTCCACCTGCCTTGGCCTCCCGAAGTGCTGGGATTACAGGCGTGAGCCACCACACCCGGCTGTTGTTGTTATTACACCTCTGGCCCCTCTTCTATTCGTGTCACTTCTAGCATACATCAAAGCGAAATATAATTTTCAGGAAAAAATAAACTCATGACTCACAGCTATAAAAATGAATATGAGTTAAAGAATTTGTGTTACTCATAGTATCTGCGGGAACTAGGCAGATGCTATAACCAGCTTAATAGAAAAGTCAAGCCAATTTAAATTTACAGAGTAGAAGAATGTTGAGATGAATTGCAAATGAAAGTGAAACTGGTTTTTCCACTGGGAGGAAGTCTGTTCCTAACAAGATATAATTTGCATGACTGTCAGTTACAACTTAGCAAGAATCGCAAATAGCTCAAACCCAGGAAAGGGCTGGAATCTGATAACTTGATAACCAGAAGGGTGTGCTGAAAATTACTGTTTTCTTTCTCTCTCTCTCTCTCTTTCTCTCTCTCTCTTTCTTTCTTTCTTTCTCTCTTTCTTTCTTTCTTCTTTCTTTTTCTCTTTCTTTCCTTTCTTTTCTTTCTTTCTCTTTCTTTCTTTCTTTCTTCTTTTTTTCTCTTTCTTTCTCTTTCTTTCTTTCTTTCTCTTTCTTTCTTTCTTTTCTTTCTTTTTCTCTTTCTTTCCTTTCTTTTCTTTCTTTCTCTTTCTCTCTTTCTCTCTTTCTTTCTCTTTCTTTCTTTCTTTTCTTTCTTTTTCTCTTTCTTTCCTTTCTTTTCTTTCTCTTTCTCTCTTTCTTTCTTTCTTTCTTTCCTTTCTTTTCTTTCTTTCTCTTTCTCTCTTTCTTTCTTTCTTTCTTTCTTTCTTTCTTTCTTTCTCTCTCTCTCTCTCTCTCTCTCTCTCTTTCCTTCTACCTTCCTTCTTTCTTTTCCTTTCTTTTTTTTTTGACAGAGTTTAGCTCTTGTTGCCCAGGCTTGAGTGCAATGGCACGATCTCGGCTCACTGCAACCTCTGCCTCCCAAGTTCAAGCGATTCTCCTGCCTCAGCTTCCCAAGTAGCTAGGATTACAGGCATGTGCCACCACGCCTGGCTAATTTTGTATTTTTTTTTTTAGTAGAGACGGGGTTTCTCCATGTTGGTCAGGCTGGTGTTGAAATCCCAACCTCAGGTGATCCGCCTGCCTCGGCCTCCCAGGTCACTGCGATTACAGGCGTGAGCCACCCCACCCGGCCTCATTCACAGTTTTCAGTTGAAACATAATTATGTTTTTGCCATGCTAATGATGGTTAATACTCTGGAGGTGGTGGGTATGTGTCAATCACTCAGACAATTTACCTGTGTTTACTCACTGAATCCTCAAGAAAGAGAGGTGGGAAATACATCACATCTGTCTTACAAAGGAGGAACTTAGGGCTCAGAGGTTTTGGATTTCAATACACTGTTGCTGCAGGAGTGGGAATTTGAATAAAGGTGTTCTGATGGCCACATGTCAGTTCTTTTCCACTGGGCTATGCTATTTGTGTGAAGCCCTGAGCAGCTGAGTCCTAGGAAGTCGTGCAGGCTCCAGAATGTAGAACAACAGTATCTCTCCACCTGGGAAGGCAGTGCTCTATTTACTTTTTAACTTTCCAATTTTAACTGGAATAAGCTTTCCTCCTCCTCCCACTATCCACATTCTCCACTGAATCCTCTAACTGTTACTAATTCTACGGAAATTTGTGGAAATTAATAAAACCTTGTGGAGGCCAAGGGAAAACTTCCCCTTCATCTGAATGTTCACAGAAAATCAACTGAAAAAAGACAGCTGAGAAATAATAAGAGAAAAGGCATATGAACTTATTAAAGTGCACAGGAGTTTTACAAAACATAAGATCTCAAATAAATGACCGGATGGTTGACGCTTTTACACCATCTTGAGTTTCCAGAAAGAATGAGGCTTGGATCAGTGGCAAAATGGCTTATGGGACCAGAGAAGAGGTGGCCTGTCTAGCGAAGGTGGTCTTGTTACATGGATGGACCCTCACAGGTAGCAGTGCTCAGAGACAATAGATGTAAATGTTTCAGGCCTTTAGAAACATCAGACCCTCAGTTAATCATCCCTAAATCTGGACAAGGGAAGGCCTCAGAGAAAGCCTGGCTGCATCAATGCAGATTTTTCTCTACAGGTGCAAATCTTCTTCACAAAAGACAGCTTTTCAGCTAAATTTGTGTTTCCAGCCCTCCTGAACAGCCATCTTGAAACATTTCAAAGAAGTATATTTTAGGCTAAAATATTCTGGCTACCTTTGTAATCTGAGAAGCCAAAATAGATATCTCTTTATCGAATAAGATGGACCCCAAGGCTAAGGCAATGAAAAGTTACCTACAGGCTGAGGGCTCCAAGGCCTTGCTGCCACGGCAACTCCCTAAATTCCTTTGGCTACAGCAAAAACCACAGGTTTGCTAAACTCCCTAACAATAGGAAACATCAGGCAAAATGTCAGGCCCTTCCTAACTCTGATTTACGACCTCTCTTGGTGTCTGGCTTGGGACCCCTTTCCGGTAACAATCCTGTTCATTCTTTGGATGACACTTTCAACCTTGCATGTACAATATGATATACTTGCCCTGTTTGATGAATCGTCTAACTTGTTGTTTCTCAACCTGTTCATTTTTTATTACTGCTGGCCCTAAAAACTTTTATGTGGCATTATTTCTGAGAGCTCTGTTCTGTTCCATTGGTCTGTATCTCTGTTTTGGTATCAGTACCATGCTGTTTTGGTTACTGTAGCCTTGTAGTATAGTTTGAAGTCAGGTAGCGTGATGCTTCCAGCTTTGTTCTTTTTGCTTAGGATTGACTTGGCAGTGTGGGCTCTTTTTTGGTTCCATATGAACTTTAAAGTAGTTTTTTCCAATTGTGTGAAGAAAGTCATTGGTAGCTTGAAGGGGATGGCATTGAATCTATGAATTACCTTGGGCAGTATGGCCATTTTCACGATATTGATTCTTCCTACCCATGAGCATGGAATGTTCTTCCATTTGTTTGTATCCTCTTTTATTTCATTGAGCAGTGGTTTGTAGTTCTCCTTGAAAAGGTCCTTCATGTCTCTTATAAGTTGGATTCCTAGGTATTCTTTTCTCTTTGAAGCAATTGTGAATGGGAGTTCACTCATGATTTGGCTCTCTGTTTGTCTGTTATTGGTGTATAAGAATGCTTGTGATTTTTGCACATTGATTTTGTATCCTGAGACTTTGCTGAAGTTGCTTATCAGCTTAAGGAGATTTTGGGCTGAGATGATGCGCTTTTCTAGATATACAATCATGTCATCTGCAAACAGGGACAATTTGACTTCCTCTTTTCCTGATTGAATACCCTTTATTTCCTTCTTCTGCCTGATTGCCCTGGCCAGAACTTCCAACACTATGTTGAATAGGAGTAGTGAGAGAGGGCATCCCTGTCTTGTGCCAGTTTTCAAAGGGAATGCTTCCAGTTTTTGCCCATTCAGTATGATATTGGCTGTGGGTTTGTCATAGATAGCTCTTATTATTTTGAGATACGTCCCATCAATACCTAATTTATTGAGAGTTTTTAGCATGAAGGATTGTTGAATTTCGTCAAAGGCCTTTTCTGCATCTATTGAGATAATCACCTTTCTCTCCTCCCCTGGATATTATGAATCACATCACAAGGAGGTGTACCCCCTAATGATATGGGGAGTAATATCATGTCTCTCCCACTGGATATTATGAACCATATCACAGGGAGGTGGACACCCCCGCAATATGGGGAGTAATATAATTCTTCTTCCCTCTCTAGATATTACAATCTATATCACAGGGGTGTGTACGCCCCCACGATATAAGGAGAAATATCACCTTTCTCTCCCTCACTGGATATTATGAAACATATCACAGTAGGTGATGAGGAAAGAGGATGATATTACCTCCAATATTGTGGGGAGTGTACATACCCCCTTGTGATATTGTTTCTAATATCCAGGGAAAGAGGATTATATTACTCTCAATATTGCAGGGGGCTGTACAACCACCCTCTGATATTTTCCTAACATCCGGCGGGGGGGCGGGGGGCGGAAGACGATGATATCCAGAGGGGGAGATGATGATATTACTCTTAATATCGCAAGGGGTGTACACCCCCCTGTGATATTGTTTGTAATATCCAAGGTGGGGAGACGATGACATTAGTCCTGATATCACAGGGGGTGTACACCCTCCTGTGATAGTGTTGGTAATATTAAGGGTGGGAGAGTATAATATTATTTGCAATATTGCAGGGGATATACACCCCCCTGTGATATTGTCCGTAATATACAGAAGGAAAGAGGATGATATTATTCCCAATATCCCAGGGAGTGTACACCTTCATTTAATGTTGTTCTTAATATCCAGGGTAGGAGAAGATGACATTACTCTTAATATCAGGGGCTGTACACCCCCCTCTGACATTGTTCGTAATATTCATGGAGAAAGAGGATGATATTACTCCCAATATCCTGAACACCCCATGTGTACACCACCCTCTTGTATCGTTCGTAATATCCAGCAGGGGAGAGGTTGGTATTACTCTCAGTATCGCAGAAGGTGTATGCCCTGCTGTGATATTGTTTGTAATATTCAGGGAAAGAGAGGATGATACTACTTCCAGTCTCGCGGAGCATGTACACCCCCTGTGATATTGTACCTAATATCCAAAGAATGAGAGGATATTATTCCTAGTATCACAGGCTGTGTACATTCCTCCTGTGATATTGTTTTTAATATCCAGGGGGCGAGAGGATGATATTACCCCAATATTGCAGAAGGGTATACACACCCCGCGATATGGGGAGTAATATCACCCTTCTCTCCCCCCTGGATATTACAAACAATATTTATTGGGATATTGTTTCTAATATCCAGGCGAAAAAACAATAATACTTCCAATATTGCAGGGGGTGTACACCGCTCCTATGACAGTATTCCTAATATCCACGGGGGGAGAGGATGATATTATTGCCAATATCGCAGGAGCTGTACACTCCCCCTCTTATATTGTTCCTTATAACCGGGGGGGACGGGATGATATTAGTCCCAATGTCGCAGAGGGTGTACACCGCCTCTGTAATATCCACGGGGGAAAAGGATGATACAATTCCCACTATCGAAGGGGGTGTACCCCCCTGTTGTATTGTTCCTGATATCCAGGGCGTGAGGAAATGATATCACTCTTAATATCGCAGGGTGTGTACACCCTCACGTTGATAATGTTCGCAATATCCAGGGGAAGGGAGGATAATATTATTCCCAATATTGCAGGGGCTGTACGTCTCCCCTGTGATGATGTTCCTAATATCCAGGAGGGTAGAGGATGATATTACTGTAATATCGCAAAAGGTGTACAACCCCTCTGTGATATTGTTTCTAATATCCAGATGGAAAGGGGATGATATTACAACACCCTGTGATATTATTTCTTTTTCTTTCTTCTTTTTTTTTTGACAGAGTCTCACTCTGTGGCCCAGGCTGGAGTGCAGTGGTGCGATCTGGGCTCACTGCAAGCTCCGCCTCCCGGGTTCACGCCATTCTCCTGCCTCAACCTCCCAATTAGCTGGGACTGCAGGTGCCCACCACCGCGCCCAGCTAATTTTTTGTATTTTTTTTTAGTAGAGACGGGGTTTCACCCTGTTAGCCAGGATGGTCTGTATCTCCTGACTTCGTGATCTGCCCGCCTCGGCCTCCCAAAGTGCTGGGATTACAGGCGTGAGCCACTGCACCCGGCCAAAGAATACATTTTAAATTAGAAGAAATCATGTAAGTGCTATTCTTGAAGTTTCTTATTTTAATTTGTGATTTAATTAATTCAGTCTCATAAATAAACTCAATGAGGAAGGAAGAATGTGGAACTGACAATGTAAGTTGCTTACATAAATCGCCTCATATGGCTTCAGACTGAGTCTCTAAATTGAGAAGATCTTAATGCGTGACAATTAGCTACATGGTAGAGAAGAAACTACTCAATGAAAATTTATTTCTATTTCTTGAGCCAAAATTTGAATGATTGTCCTTATTTATGGTAGCCCAGTAGAAAGATTCCAAGGGTTTCTTTCCTTTCTTTGTTTTTCTTTTCTTCTACATTTCTTCCAAAATTAACTTAAAGTAACTCCTGAGGTTGTATATAGGATAGTAGAAAGCACACTTTCATAACGTTGTTTGGAAGGTCAATTATATGATGAATGCAAAATGCTGGGATTTTGCATTTTGTAATGACAGTTACAAAACACTGCCAAAATAAATCAGAGATGACACAAATAAATGGAAAAACATTCCATGCTTCTACATAGGAAGAATTAATATTGTTAAAATGCCCATACTGTACAAAGCAATTTACAGATTCAATGCTATTTCTACCAAAGTACCAATGTCATTTTTCACAGAATTAGAAAAAACTAATCTAATGACCAAACTAACTGAAAGGTCAAAACTAACCGAATGGCCATATCAATCTCAAGCCAAAAGAAAAGAGTTGGAGGAATCACACTCTCAGATTTCAAACTGTACTACAAGGCTACAGTAACCAAAACAGCATGGTACTGGTACAAAAACAGACTTATAGACCAATGGGACAGCTTAGAAAACCCTGACACAAAGCTGCACACCTATAACCAACTGATCTGACAAAGTCGACAATAACAAGCAATGGGGAAAGGATTTTCTGTTCAATACAGACTTCAGGATAACTGGCTAGCCATATGCAGAGGATTGAAACTGGATGTCTTTATTTCACCATGTACAAAAATCAACTCAAGATGGATTAAAGACTTAAATGTAAAACTTAAAGATAAAAAAACTCTAGAAGAATACCTACGGAAATACCATTCTGGACATAGGCCTTGGCAAAGGTTTCGCAAGGAAGACTCCAAAAGCAATTGCAACAAAAATAAATATTGGCAAGTGGGACCTAATTTAACTAAAGGCCTTCTAACAGCAAAAGAAACTATAAACAGAATAAACAGACAATGTAGAGAATGGGAAAAAATTTGCAAACCATGTGTCCAACGAAGGTTTAATATCCAGAATCTATAAGGAACTTAAACAAATCAACAAGCCAAAAAAAGGAATTCCATTAAAAAATAGGCAAAGGGCAGGAACAGACACTTCTCAAAACAAGACATATGTGTGGTCTACAAGCATATGGAAAAATGCTTATCACTAATTATTAGAGAAATGCAAATGAAAACCACAATGAGATACCATCTCACACCCGTCAGAATGGCTATTTATTATTAGAAAGTAAAAAAAAAAAATCAAAACAACAGATGCTGGGAGGGTTGCAGAGAAAAGGGAATGCTTATACACTGCTAGTGAAAATGCAAATTAGTTAAGCCACCGTGGAACAATTTGAAAATTTCTCACAAAACTGAAAACAGAGCTACCATTCAACCCAGCAATCCCATGACTGAGTACTTTCAATGGCAAAAACCGCAATTACTTTTGCACCAATCTCATACATATAAAGCATGGAATACCACACAGCCACAAAAAAGAACAAAATCATGTCCTTTGCAGCTGCATGGATGCAGCTGGAGGCCATTGTCCTTAGTGAACTAACACAGGAACAGAAAACCAAATACAGAATGTTCTCACTCATAAGTGGCAGCTAATCACTGAGTGCACATGGACACAAAGAAGGTAAAAGTAAACACCAGGGCTTATTGGAGGGTAGTAGGTGGGAGGAGGGTGAGGATCAAAAACTATCTATCAGGTACTATGCCCCAAAATACATAAGAATGATGAATTATTCTAGTGCAAACACACGTTACATATAAAGATTCACATAGATAATAAATAATAGAGGGAGATTTGTTATGCTAAGACCACGAATTAGCTGCATACTTCACACAAGAAAAATGATTCAGGCTAACTATGGGCAGTTCATAATAATAAATGGGATGCATACTCAAAATTACATGACAAGCTTTAAATTACATGTAATGACAAAAATTGTCTTGTTATTGTCCCACAGGACCCTGAAGCTCTTTTCATTACCCTTTCAATCTTTTTTCCTCATTATATTTAGATTATGTAATTCCTATTTGTTTATCTTTAAGTTTGCCAACACTTCCACCTGTCTTCTTTATTTTGTTATTACACTGAACTACAGTGAGGATTTTTTTTTTATTATTACTATTTGGTCTGCCTTTTTTGGCTTTTACATTTTTATTTAGTTCTTTTGTTTTTCTTTGCTGAGAATTCTCTTCACTAAATTATAGACTTAATGTTGTAGAAAGTACATTTAGACCTCCTCTATTTCTGGAACTGTATGCAAGTCCAGCTGCTCACCACCTAGAAGCAAACTGCAAAAGAAGTAGGATGGAGTGACAGGAAAGCAGTTTTATTTTTCAATTGCTAGGAGATGGGAGATGGGCTGCCTCAAGCCTCAAAAACAAAACAAAACAAAAAAACCCATCTCAAAGCTTTGAGCTGAGGGCAGGGGCTTAAAAAGGGAAACGTGGTGTGGGAGGTATGCAGGGGTTATGCAGAGTGTAGGGTCTGCGTGTCTTTTTGCAATGGCTATCTTGAGTTATTGTCCACCTAGAGTGCCAACTGGCACCATCTCAAGTGTGGCTGGGCTGCAGATTATTCATCTTGAGGTCATCTTTCAGAGGGAGAGAATTTGCCACTGGGTCTCCATGCCTGGCTGGTTTCAAAATTAGTCCCTAGAATCTCTTAACAAGCATACAGTAAGATAAGTGTGTGTGGTGCAAGGGAGTGCCTGGTCAGAAAGAGAGGGAAGCTGTTTCCATTTCAGCTCCTCAGGCCAGCATATTCCTAGTTGGCAAATTCCAAACCAACTTGTGCCTTTCAGTTGGAACTAGAACTTCCAGGCAAACATATTTTAGTGCCTTGGTCATTGTTTCTAGATGTCGTCTATACCTGCACTCCATGTGACTGCCCCCCTGCTCTGTGCTACAAGAACACATCTGTGTGAATAGCACTGGGGCTCCCTTCATACTGAATTCTGATCGAGTTTGGCTCATGCAGTGTAATGTACATTATACAGTGTCATGTGCTCTCCACACTCCCCTTCCCACTTGAGCACTGAAGTACTTGTTCCCCCAGCTGCCAGGAGAATTAGTATGTGACAGCTCTCAGCTAAGTCCTTCTCAAGTCACTGTTCCCAGTTGAGGTAAACTGCCTCACCCAAGCTTATGCTCTCTTCCTGGGGGCAGCCACATGCAATCAATGCTCCTGTGGGAACACAAACGCGGGGCCACCTGCCCTACTACAAGGCAACATGGAAGGTTAATCTCACAGTTCATCCAAGGAGTAGCCAAGACTGTAGTTGTGACTACATCACAGTTCATCTTCTCCCAGTGCCCAACTTTGCTTCATTAATGCCACAGGAATTGACACTAGGAACTCTCCTTGGTCAGCTTCCTGAATGTCGAAGTCTCCATCTCAGTCTTTTTTTCAGGAATTTCTGAGTGATAATTATTTCTCCTGCTCAGGCTTGCTGGTCTGTGGATTCTTGACTTTGCCCTCTGGCAGGTTCACCTTGGAGGTGGCCTCCTCCATACAGCCCATCTGTGTGAAATCTGGAAGCTGGTCTATCCCCACAGGCCATCAGGAGGCGAGTGGGCAGAACATCACGGTCTTGGTGGTGTAGGGACTCAGCATAGCCTCTCTTTGGTTTTCGTAAATTGTGCCACATAGTAGTTAATCTCAACTCAGCTACCCAGCATCGCTGTCCTTTCCGTTTTTCTGTGGAGCTCTGGGCAGTACATACATCTTTTTCTCATCTGACTCACAGCTTGTCTGGCCTTAATTCTCACACACCCTAGAGTCCTTCAGAGAGATTTATCTACTTAAGGCAAAAGGCTACTTCCCCCATTGGACAGTAGCCACCTGTGTTACTACACCATTGTATTGATACTCCTGGGACCCCAGAGACATCAGTGTTCAGAACATGGAAAGATAAAACTTTTATCATAAGTGATAGGTAAACTTTCATTGAAAGTTTTATTTGTTACTTGATATACTAAATATCTACAACCTACTGCTTGCACTCAGCCAGGAATTTGTTTTTTTCCACAGGAAATAAGATAACCTGACTTTAACTGTAGACTGCATGTGATCAATAACATTCTAAATCAGAGTAGGATTAGCCACTTCAGTAAGATACAACATGCAAAGGCAGAGGTGTCACTAAAATCTATGATGGGCTTGCCTTCTAAACACAAACAATGGTGATTACAACTTCACTTGGAATAAGCAATTACAATATCTCACGTTTTGTCTAGGAGCAGCTTTCCCCATGATCTATTCCATGAGAAATTTTGTTTAAATATATTTTTTTTTACAGTTTTGGAGGCTGAGATTTATATATACTGGCAGTGAAGCCTGAGTCCACTAAACTTGCAAAAGCTGGAGCCAGGATCCCAAGGGTGCTTGACAGTAGAAAATATTAAGAACAAATAACACAATCATAGAAGGCAGCCCCAGATAAAATCAAACCGCAAACTGCCTGGCACAGTGAATACAATCTGTTGTTACTATTGTTGCTATCACTGATTTTATTACATAGATACAAACACACAAAATATTAAAAAATACAATTATATCACACAGATGCAAAAATATTGATACTTATAAAGCAGCAGAGATTCTGTCAAGTTTAGTTCAATAAGGAAACTACCATGGATTCTACCACGGTTTCTTTTTATTTCAACTACTTTCTTTGACAAGAGCTGGTCTTTCAATATCACACTGTTTAATCTTCCCATCCTATTAAACTACACACAAGTAACGCCAGAGCCACATTACCTCGCCCCTTAATGTATTTTTCAACATCATCTTTTCCATGCACATCTATTTACATTTCATTTTTGCTCCTAAATAATTCTCTCTTCTTTCAATAAATCGCAGCTTTCCAAAAGCATTTTGGAAGTATATTAAAATTATGGGTATTTATAAAATGTCCCTGAAAATTAAACATCTTTGGCAGCCAAAGTGGCAAGCTCATGCCTCTCTGGTTTATTAATCAGAGTTGATTTAGGTCACACCCCTAAACAGTAGACTGTAGACACTGATACAAGTGAAGCCAACACAGCCAGGCTGGAAGAGCTTTTCTCGATGCTGCTCAGACAGGATCCAGCCTTTTGGGAGGAGTCATCACTTTTATCTTCTGTAAGTAGAAAATCTGTGATTCTGTAAATACTAATCACTTAATATTTAATAATTTTCCTGTAAAGTTTGAACTCTAGATAATTCACAGCTATATATCTTTACGTATTTTACAAATAAAATTCTATTATCCATTCTACAACCTGAAGAATCAAAAGTTGCTAGCTGACACAGTCATCAGGTTAAATTCCTGTAATAACCTGTCAATTTTGTCAAATATATGATTTGGCTGTTTCCAATTTATTTTCTGACAGGACAAATTGATTAATCATTTTAGTATCATGGGGAGGAGAGTTACAGTTTTACTATTAAGTTTTGGCAACAGGGATCAGAAAAGCACAGAATGGAATGTTAGAGGCATTGTTCTCAGTGTTCTGTGATTACTTGACGAATTATTGATGAGAAAAAAGGAAGGGATATATACGTGCCTTCTACTAGCATTGCAAAAGAGATCAGTGTGATTTAAAGTAAAAATGTCCACATTTTATCACCATTCTAAGTAAGAAACTATGGGGACAGAAGAAAATATAGTTCAAAATTCTCTAGCTTTCTAAGCTATAGTGAAGAAAGAAAAGGAAAATATTTATTTTTCAGGGTAATACTTTATCATACTTCTTTCTACACTAGTCAATCTTGAATTTTCAACCCTCTGTTAAATGAAATTATAGACATTTTATTAGCAAGATTATTTAATTCTTCATTTTTCATTTAACTGTTCTTTGTATCCATGGCCAATTTTTAAAAAAAATTATCCCAAATAATCATTTTTGTAGGTTTATAAACATTTTAATTAGTGGCAAATTATCTTAGCTTTGTAACATAAAAATATAGACAGTAATTTCAATAAAGCAAATAATTTAATATTATCACATCGTAGAAAAATACAGTTATCTACTAATTTTATTTAACACATTTAATTAATCATTTCGTGAAATAATCTGAATGCTATGGCATGATGACCAGTTAGACTGATACAAACTGATAATTTTTATACACCTGGAAATAAAGAATTTTTATTCCACATAAACATAAAGAATAGAAATATTATCTATTTTCACTGAAAAGGTACAAGCTAATGACATCAAATTTTACAAACTATTTAACCATAGTAGGAACTTCATAATAAGAAAATGTATTTCCTGAACTGAAAAGTCATGCAAGTTGTTGAGATTATTCTCTGAAAACATATGAACCAGTCTGGCACAATTTAAGCGGCTAATTAATTGCAATTGCTATATTTTTATGCTATATATGTTTACCTTACCAAAATAAAAAAAACTAACATCTGTCGTGAAACATTCCATTAAAATGATACTTAAACATACAGCTGAAGTGAGTGGGAGCAACGTTAATGGCTATGACTGGATAATTGAACAAACTGTTATATATGCAGATAATGAAATAGTATTCACCCTTTGGAAGGAAATTCTGACACATGGGATGAACCTTGAGGACATTATGATAAGTGAAATAAGCCAGTCACAGACACACACACACACACACACACACACACACACACACAATACCACATGATTCCATTTATATGAGGTTTCTAAAACACTCAAATTTATAGAGACACAAAATAGAATGGTGGTTGCTGGGGGCTGTGTGTGAGAAGAATGGGGAGTTATTTCACAGTGGGTACAGAATTTCAATTTAGGGAGGTGAAATGAGATTCATAGATGGATATTGTGGATGGTCATACAACAATATGATTATACTTGAAGCCACTGTACTGATTGTGCCTTAAAAATATTTAATATGATAGAAAAAATAATTTAAGAAACTTGTCCAACACCCTACAGTTATGACATTACAGACTGATTTTTTAAAAGATATTTAAAGTTGATCAAGCTTCAACACTAAGGAAGGTTGGGAAAACGGAGAAATGGAAGATATCGAGTGAAAGAAATGAGTCAGGAGGGTTTTGAGGTCTTTCAGCAAAGTGACACTAAGGGCTGTAATTAGAGATTTTGTATAGTTCCTACGTGTAGAAAGTACATGTTATTGCATTTTCTAAGAAGTAAAAAGAAAAAAATAGAGCATGTTAGAGATACGAAGGTGTGAAGATCACAAAGTTTTGTCAAATGCAGAATTTATTTGTCAAGAAGGACATATGTATATTTCCATGATGTTTAAATTTTAAACAACCAAATAAAACCCTCAGGTATTGTGCTGCCCGTACAATTATGATGCTCAAGTAATGCACTCTGGTATTGACTGACGCAACTGCACTGCCTTTCCCAGTCGTGACTGGCATTTTAGTTTAGGGTGGATACAAAAAGTGGAGGCAAAGGGAATGCGCATGGAAGAGATGGGCTCCTTCTGCCATATAACTTTATTGAATTAGACCATATCCTTGAGATTGAATCAGCATCAATACCTCTGCAGGTGTGGCGACATTTATTCAACAAGGTAGAAAACTTCCTGCACCAGCAGATCTAAGATGAAAATGTCTATAAAGATTTCATTTCTCTTGAGACTGAAGAAGACATTAATTTATCTCTGTGATTGGATAAAGATCTTAGTTTTCTTTTTTCTCCTTTACCTGGTAAAGGTTATACTTGTGGACTGATGAGAAAAAGTCTCATTGCAACAAAGTACCTTGTACAGTTAATGAAAATGTGTGTTTACCATTATACTCTTACACTGCAAAGAAATAAAAAATATCCAAGAAGGTCAGTACTGTTTTCAGTCTATCACCTATAAAGGAGGACTAAATGTGTTCACAACTCCAAATTAACTATGTTTTCATCTGCAGACTCAGCCTTTCCAGACCTGAGAATATAAGTCACCCTCTTTAGAAAGGAAAAAAAGTCTTCTTGGATTAAGTCAGGGAAAACTGCCTGATTTTGGTAGGTTTCAATGAGTTTTGATATGTTATAGACCCACAACCTTCACAGTCAAGGATGTAGTTTTATATAATGAAATATACTGACTTAATTCAGCTTCTAAAATATTGACTATGCATGATGTAACTCAAGCACAAATAAAGTGACAAATTATGTGAATCATTTCATTCTCACTCACTTATGATGGTACCAGATAAAGCAAAACCATTCTGACAGGTTACTTGCAACTTATCCAGAACGTGGATTTGTGATATAAAATTAATCAATACTTAGCCTGAGAAGCATTTATTATGAAATCCTTGGAAATGAGAAAAAGTTTAATTAATTTTATGCACAAATTAGAACATTTTGCAAGTGGCAAATGAAAGATTTGACATAGGTTTCATCGCTTTCACACAAGTACTTTTCTATTTTTTTACTACGTAACTCAAATGGAGTACCATAAAGGATAAACACTCTGTCTTCTTTTTCTCCATTTGCAGTGTCACTCTTATTTGAAATCATGGAAAATGGGAGCTATACCTCTTATTTCATTCTCCTAGGACTCTTTAACCACACCAGAGCCCACCAAGTCCTCTTCATGATGGTTCTGAGTATCGTTTTGACCTCCCTGTTTGGCAATTCCCTCATGATTCTCCTGATTCACTGGGACCACCGGCTCCACACGCCCATGTACTTCCTCCTGAGCCAACTTTCCCTCATGGACGTGATGCTGGTTTCCACCACTGTGCCCAAAATGGCGGCTGACTACTTGACCGGAAGTAAGGCCATCTCCCGCGCTGGCTGTGGTGCGCAGATCTTCTTCCTCCCCACACTGGGTGGTGGAGAGTGCTTCCTCTTAGCAGCCATGGCCTATGACCGCTATGCGGCTGTCTGCCACCCACTCCGATATCCCACTCTCATGAGCTGGCAGCTGTGCCTGAGGATGAACCTGTCGTGTTGGCTCCTGGGTGCAGCTGACGGGCTCCTGCAGGCTGTTGCTACCCTGAGCTTCCCATATTGCGGTGCACACGAGATCGATCACTTCTTCTGCGAGACCCCCGTGCTGGTGCGTTTGGCTTGTGCTGACACTTCAGTCTTCGAAAACGCCATGTACATCTGCTGTGTGTTAATGCTCCTGGTCCCCTTTTCCCTCATCCTGTCCTCCTATGGTCTCATCCTCGCTGCTGTTCTGCACATGCGCTCTACAGAAGCCCGCAAGAAGGCCTTTGCCACCTGCTCTTCACATGTGGCTGTGGTGGGACTCTTTTATGGAGCTGCCATTTTTACCTATATGAGACCCAAATCCCACAGGTCCACTAACCACGACAAGGTTGTGTCAGCCTTCTATACTATGTTCACCCCTTTACTAAACCCCCTCATCTACAGTGTGAAGAACAGTGAGGTGAAGGGAGCCCTGACAAGGTGTATGGGTCGGTGTGTGGCCTTAAGTCGTGAATAAGACTATATATTTGCCCCAACATTCAAAACTGTGCAAAGTGTTTGTGTGGAATTTCCTAGAAATAAGGAATATACACTTTTATTTCTACATCTGTTGTCTCTGTGTGTGTGTGTGTTTGTGTGTTGCTTTGAATTGCAGATGAATCTTCATTCCTCGGGTTCATTTACTCAGCTATCATTACCCAATCAAATCATGGATTGTTAAAAATCGGTGAACTCACTAATCCTTAGTAAGATGGTTTTACATCATACCTCACAATAATTTTTTGTTCAAAGAATGAATTAACCATTCAAGCAGTTTTGAAAGTTGTTGCCATTTGTTTCAAATTGAGGTGTAGCTTACACACAGTAGAATGCTCGCATTTAAGATGTTCCTTTTCAACTAATTTCCACAAATATCTACCCTGGTAATTCACCCATTAGGAAGAGACACCATTTTCACCACCTCAGAAAGGTCCTGCAGGCCCTTTTCCAGTGATACCCCAGGCCTAAGATACATCCACTGCTCTAATTTTTATCTCTGTTCGTTAGTTTGGGCTATTCTAAAATTTCACATCAAAGGAAACAAATAGTATGGTCTTGAATCTTGTTTCCTTCTTTCAGCTTAATGTATTTCTAAAATCCCTCCACATTTTTACCTCATTGTTACATTGCTTTTTTTTACTGCTAAGTAGTATTTTGTTTTCTGAAAATTTCATCATTTGTTTATCCATTATTTTGCTGATGGACATCTGGGCTATTTTCAGTTTGAAGTTCTGGTGACTGAAATGTATGTTAATCTCCTATTTGTAATCATATGTTTTTATTTTTCTTGGTAGGTGTCTGGTGAACTCTTCAGTAAACTGTTTTCAAAGTGGTTGTTTACTCTTATACTGCCGCTGACAATGCACACAAGTTCCTGTTGCTCCAAATGTCGATGTTTTCTTCATTTTAGCAATTCTTCTGAGTGTAGTAGGAACTCAGTTTGCTTTTAATTTGCATTTTCCTGATGACTAATAATGTTGAGGCCTCTTGCGTTAGCTTATTATCTATTGCCTATTGATGTAAACTGTCTACTTCAGTTTTTGGAAAAAAAAATCTGTATATGCTTCCAAAGCGAAAACAACTTGGTCATTAACTAATAGGCAATCTATGGCATTCATAGGGCTACTTGGAATTTTGGAAATAAAATCATATATTGGGTTATTTTTTATTATATTTCCTGACACATGTGTTATCATTCAATGCCTCAAGATTTGCTGTTTTATTAAACCAGGTATTTAGTACATCTCTTCCACCTCCTGCATTCTGCTTAAAGCTATAAATCTGTTTGTTTTAATTATGAGTTGTAACAGAACATCCCACTTCACTGGAGGAATGATGCCACTAAAAACACACAGATTTTATTAATTTTACATATACAGGGGCTTCTTCACAAGAGCATGAAATCTGAGGAAGTGGCCAAAGAGAGAAATTTTATATTTTCTCGAGAAAGAATGATAAATTTAAGAAGACGTGACAGGACAAAGGGGATGGGGTAACAGCAGTACATTTCTAGGTGAGTCATTAGGATGTATGTGAAGGGGAGTAAAACTCGTAGAAGGGTTACTTCGCTAAGTATATTCATTCTGATCCATTGCACCCCCGGATCCCAGTGTCTGGTGTAAGGGCTATTTTCTCAGCTGGTACATGGAGGGTGCACCTCCCGAGGAATCTCTATGGCTTCGCACATGTAGGAAGAGAATGATCAGCTGGCCCTTTCTGAAATAACCATTGCTCCTATGTTTTTAATTCGAAGTAATCAATATTCCAATTTGGTATTTGGGGAATGGCATGTCTTTCACTCCTTTACAGGTAAATGATTATATAGATGCAGTAATTTTCAGGCAAGAAATTTGGCATGTTGAAGAGACTGCTGATTTTACGAAGGAAACAAACATAAACATACGTTTATTTCTATATCAATTTATTTATAAATATATACTCATGTGATCTCCAAAAACAAAAAATTAAATCCAAAAATCAATTGTAATACAATAATTTCACATACTTAGAGACTGTTTTTTTTTTTACTTTGCTTTTTTTTAGTCTCAATCTTCTCCTTCACAACTTTTTCTTTTCTTGAAATAAGGAGCAGAGGAATGTAGAGCAGACGCTCTCAGGGAGCAGGAGCCAGTGAGATCCAGGTTGGCAGGTCCCTGCAGTACTGTGGAAGTGGCGGCCCCTGGGGATTGTGGAAGAAAGCCTGGTTGAGGCATTTACCCCGGGCCTGCAGGTTGTGCTTTAGGGTATCTAAAGCCAATTTATTACACTTTAAACCTGGTTTATTTCTATAAACATAGGCATAATTTGATCATAGGGTAATTTCATCAAATAGCCAACTTCCATATTCTTTCAGAAACATGAAGTGAATTGGTTTAACCCTCGCCTAGATGGAGTAGAGTATAACTTCTTATGAAATAACTATAATAACAGTAATAAACACAAATACCTCTCATTCATTTAGTACTTAATTTGCAACTGTATTTTGCTTAATATTTCACCTTCATTTTATTATTTTAGTTATAACCATAACCTTCCAGAATTGGCTCAGTGTTCATTCTCATTTTTTTAAAAAAATGGAGACAAGCTTATTGGGGTAAAATTCACTATCCACTTTTATACAGACCTGAATCCAATTGCCTGACTTTAAAAAGCTTGCACTCAGGAAAGAGCTAGTTTTCATAGTGTTTCAGTGAGCACCTGCCCCCACCCCACACATATACACATGCACACTCATTTGAAATCGCCATCATTTCTTCTACTAGTGTTCAAGATGTTGTCACATGGTTTTCCTCCTTCACACAAGGTATTGCTGCAGGTTCTCCTCACTTTTTTCTCAGGCATCCCCTAGGGACATGAGTCCTCATGGTGCCCTATGAAAGGGTGGCCGTTTTCTCTCCCACAAGCCACATGCTACAGGACTTCCAACTGGGAAGTTGTCTTTCATCCTTTTCCTTGCTCCTTTCAAATCACATATCCCCTTCTCCCTGTAAACTGTCAGCTAATCGGAAGGAAATCGCTGAACTGAGTATCACCCAATGCCTCTGAGTCACTCTCAAGGACATGACATTGAAACAAACATCTGAGTAGCATGAACAGCAGCTGGACACCATGAGGGAGGAAGGGGTGTTGAGCCCAGTGTGCTAAATGTGAAAGGCCCTGCCTGGAATGTCCTGTGCGGAGCGGAACGTGGTAAGGTCAAATGTGGTGGGAGATGGGTACCCCGGGAGGACTTCAGGGTCAGGTCACATAGGAAGGCGCAGGTTTTGTTCAGAGCGCGCTAGGGTACACCTGCAGTCAGCCCTCATCAGGAAGGAGCAGACGGTCCACATAAACATAAGCAGCTAAACTGTAGATTAAACATGATGTTCTGACAGAGCAGATTCTGAGGGGGAGAGAGTCATCCTCTTTAAGAGAACAGGAAAGTCTCCATGGAGGGAAGATTTACATGTAAAATCTTGGGAGAATGGAAGAAATTGAAGCCCTTAGAAGTGCTGGGGAAGAGTGTTTATGTGCAAGAAATAATCCAACTTATGAAAAAGATGCAGAATAGCTCAATTTATATAAATATAAATACTTCAGCTTCACTGGAAATTAGAACTAAATGTAGGCAAATTTTATGAATTTTTTTTAAATTTAAAAGAATGTGACCTAGCAGAATGTCTGCAAATGCAAAGTTGTGGTTACAGAAAGAGGAATCTAGTGTTAGGACTGAAATGGATTTATACAGGGAGAAATTTGAGGCAGGGAATTAACTTAATTGTCATTATAATTTTTGTGTTTCTATCCTATAAAAGCGGGTGCTAAATACTTTGAGTAAAACATACTGGAATTACAGTAGATTGAAGATTCCGCCAATATAAAATCTAATAGATGCATTAAGGGTAGCAAACGATTATCACAGACTACTGTACTAGGTTTTCTATTCCCAGATCAACTCATTTGCCTTCTTCAATGATTCTTTCTCATCAATATATTTCTTCTGTAAATTCTGAACACAAAATGTGTAACATTCTAATATAATCTGCATACATACATAATGTACTAAAGTGAATTTAGTATAGAACTTTAAGATATGCCTGTAGTAGGCTTGATTTTCACATATTTATTCAATAAAGCAAATTAAATCATGCCATTTTATTTAGATAAATGAAACACCATTTAAAATTATTTGAAATAACTTAAAATAAATATAAACATTATCTTTAGCATAGAATTTTAGTTTTGATTTAAATATAAAAATTTGGAAACTCAATGTTACTTATTATATTATTTTTACTATTAAAAACTGAAAGGTAATATAAATGTAACAAGTAAGATAATAGTTGACTAAATAGTTGTACACCCAGTTGAAATTTACTACATTAACACACGATAATCCAAAGATCTTTGACTGATAGCAATGGTAAAGAGTTTCTCTGCTGCCAGTGGAGAAGTCATATAGGTTAACTTGTTATATACCCCTTATTTTGGCCTCTGAAAAGATTGTTTGTCCACTGTGGTCTTTTAACCTTGACATCGCCTTTGGATTGAATTTTCTTTCCCTCAGCATAATGCTATTGCTTTTTTGATCTCTAGGGGAAATTGGAGATTGTACATTGATGCATACAATTTGTGGCCAAATTCCTTCTACTGCAGTCTCAATGGTCTAGGGGTTACTTACAGTTCTACAACACACAAATTCAGAGTGGTACAACCAGACTTAGGTTTCCTTTGGCAGTACTGGTGTTTCAAAAACATAGCTGGCATTTATTCATTTCCATTTGAGACCACTATCAGTCAAAATCTACTGCTAAGATAGAGTTTTTAATCTCTTGATTGCTCCCAACATTAGTTAAATGTGGCTACACTGAGAATGGTTTCAACAATAGACTTTAGTGGGAACAAACTAGCTTGATTCTTTGTGACAAGCAAGATGCCCCCTGTATTCTGCAGCGTTCTCAAGGAAAAGTGCTTGATGAGGCTTGAGCCACGGAGTCATTTCCTTGTCAGGCGCACACACCCCATATGCAGTTGATGTTTTCAGTCCTTCGAGGCTTCTAAGTATTAGGCTTGGGTGATATCTATTTCATGTTTCAGACAGAGAAATATTTGATCAGCAAAGCTTATTTTCTCATCTCTGCTAACTCTAGCTTGGTTCATCTCACACTTGCTGGACTTTGCTTTGTGTTCTGTGGTAGAACAGGTAACAGAGTTAAATAGCCTGCTAACTCCCACACAAAAGACATTTCCCTAATTTCTAGAAATCATCTCAGTTTTTTTCAATCACCTGCACTATAATAAGAAAATCGTTTTCTTTTTTCTGACAGCATTAAGTGCATAATAAGAGAGAATTCAGTTCTATCATCAGTAACAGAGACCTGGTCAGTAGGGACTTCAACATTAAACAAGGATTTAAAAAGTTAATTGATGCACAATTCTTGTACAAATTTATGGGGTACAGAGTGATATTTGGATACATACAAAGTTTAATGATCAAATCAGGGTTATTAGCATATTAATCACCTTAAACATTTAGGGGGTGTGTGTGTGTGTGTGTGTGTTGGGAACATTGAAAATCCTTTCTTCTAGCTATTTGAAAAGATAGAAAAAATTATCATTAACGATAATCATCCTAGAGTGCTATAGAACACTAGAACTTATTCTTCCAACATAGTTATAAATTTGTACTCATTGAGCAACTTCTCTCTCTTCTCTTAGGCCCTCGTGTTTCCCAGCCTCGAGTAAATACCATTCTACTCTCTACCTCTATGAGATCAGGTTTTTTAACCTTCTGTATATGAATGAGAACATGTAGTATACATCCTTCTGTGCCCTGGTTTATTGAACTCAACATAATGTCATCCAGGCTCATCCATGTTGCCACCAACTACAAGATTTTATTCTTTTTATGACTGAATAGTATTCCATTGTGTATACATACCACATTTTCTTTAACTATTCATTGGTTGATGAACATGTAGTTGATTCCATATCTTGGATATTGTGAACAGTGTGGCACTAAACATTGAGGTACAGATGTCCCTTCAATAGGCTAATTTCCTTTCCTTTGGATATATGCCCAGTAGTTGAATTGCTGGATCATATGATAGATCTATATTTTTAGTTTCATAGTGTTCTTTATAATAGCTATACTAATTTACATTCCCATCAACACTGTATAAGATGTCTCTTTCTCTACATCCTCACCAGCATTTGTTATTTTTTGTCTTTTTTGATAATGACCACTCTAATTGCAGTGAAATTATATGTCATTTTGGTTTTGATTTATATTTCCCTTATGATTAGTGATGTTGAACATTTTTTCAAATATTTGGCTATTTTTATGTCTTCTTCTGAGAAATGGGTATTTAGATCATTTACCTATTTTCAATTGGATTATGGGGTTTTATTTGCTATTGAGTTCCTCGCATATACTATATATTAATCTTTTGTCAGAAGAATAATTTGCAAATATTTTCTTCAATTTTGCAGGGTGTTTTTTCATTGAGATGAATGTTTTCTTTTCTGTGCAGAAGGTGTTTAGTTTAATGTAGCCCCATTTGTGTGTTTCTATCTTGTTGCCTGTGCCCTTGAAGTCTTAGAGATAAAATCTTTTCTGAGACCGATGTTGAAGCATTTCCCTTAAAACAAGCATCATTTTTAATTTCTTCATAAGAAGCAAGTGTTGATTTTGGCCAATCAGGGCAGCTTTTGTGATTGGTGATCAACAGGAAATTGCCTGGTAGCAGACAGTCTTCGGCTCCTTAATCCCTTGAGTTTTGTCCCTATGAAATGGTTACAGGAACATTTCAGGAACATACATCATCATATCCATATGCTAAAGAAACAGGATGGGCCGGGCGCGGTGCCTCACGCCTGTAATCCCAGCACTTTGGGAGGCCGAGGCGGGCGGATCACGAGGTCAGGAGATCGAGACCATCCTGGCTAACACGGTGAAATCCCGTCTCTACTAAAAATAAAAAAAATTATCCGGGCGTGGTCGTGGGCGCCTGTAGTCCCAGCTCCTTGGGAGACAGTAATTATAGGAATCCCTTAAATCAGGTGGCAGTAACAAGGAGAAGACATGTGGTCACTCACTCCGTAATGATTGTATGGAATTGAAAAGTTAGAAGGGCCAAAAAAAATGGTGAATTAAAACATCAAATGGCTGGCATAAAATGAGATTGTAAGCAGCTCAGATTATTTGATTTCAAAGTCTTCATTTGCTCTTTCACACTCATTTTCATGTGCGCATGTGGGTGAGGAAGCCGACCTAAACATTCTCATTCAGTGTGGTGAGTTTCTTTCTCCCTAGCTTAATGAGTCAATTTTCTGGACAGTGAGTACAAAATATACTTCTGATTCACGCATTATATTGTACTTTGCTTTACATAGCTACATTCTATCATATCCTGAATCTCTCTTCTTTCATTCCTTTCCTTCCTGCCCCTCTTTTCCTCTCCCTAGCTATCTCATTTTCTCCCTCCCCTGGTATATAACCCCTTACATGTGTATTTAAGAAACAAAAAAGAGTAAGAATATAGTAATTATAGGAATACTAATATAGTAATAATAGTAGTAGCAATAATAATCATCCTGAGTATTGACTGTGTGCCAGGCTCTATTCCCCCCCTTCACTCGGTGTGTGTGTGTGTGTGTGTGTGTGTGTGTGTTTGCAGTGGGGGTATTTAATGAGTCTCATCTAATATTCAAAACAACTTTATCAGGCAGGTACTGTCATGATCTTCATTTCATAGAAATTCATTTCAGACATAATTTAATGGATATTTCAGATATAATTTCATATCTGGTGTTTCATGTAAGACAAAAAAATGAAATATTTTTGGGATATTGCATTTCCATTAAATTTTCCTGTTTATCTCTTCAAAGCAGTAGGGTATTGATGATATTGTTATTTTCTTAATAAAATGTTTGAGTCAATAGCATACGAATTCCTGGGCTAGGTAACATCCATTATATTTCTATTATATCCATGTCTGCTCTAGATAAAGTAATAGTTAAATTTCATCCAGATTTAGGTTAATTTAGTATTTGAGTTTTGCCTGTCCTATGAAATTCCACTGTAGTCCAGTGAAATACCAGTGACCACTTTTTAAAAATAGTCAGTCACTAACTCATTAAGTCTGATATTTTAAGCTTATGATAAAGCTTATCATAATTGATTTAGTGATTTTCTTTTGTCTTGTGCTTGTCTTGCAGTCAAACATGTAATGTAAAGAAATAATGTAGGAACAAATAAATAACTACTTAACATTTGAATGTCAAGTCATTGCAATATTAGTGAACAATCGAAGTCTGTATAAATCAAAATTTAAAGAAACATGTTGTATGCTTTATCGGTATAATGAGAGATCTGGTAGATAAATTAAAAAGTATTTTTTAGTTGAACTAAGTCTAAATTAATGAATATGTGGTGTGTTTTAACAATCTTCTTAGATATAAAATGCTCAGAAGGATTTGAGTGTAGTGGGTCAATGAGTGAAGAGTACAAAAGGAGACTGGGGTATGATGGTGTCTGTACCTAGAATGTAATTTCCAAGCAGGAGTAAATTCAATGGAACATTTGCACAGTAAACAGATAGGAACAGTTTGATTCACTAACGGGAATAAACATATGAACTCTGAAGTAGTTCCATTGACAAAATGAAACAATTTGGCTACATGTACAAATATTTGGAATAGTTGGCTAAATAATTTAAGGAGCCTAAATGATTGTTCCTAAATGAAGACATTTTTAGATATGGTAAAGTCTCACACACACATACCCACACCCAAACACACACACACACAGACATTTAATCACATACAGTTATCATTTGAAGGAAGTGTGATGTGTCTGGAAAAAAATGTGGGCTCTTCTTTTGTATTAAACTTAGTATGAAATTATGTACACGATTTATGCTGGTGTCACTCTATATTTCTTTCTCTATAATCATGACCTGCGTTTCTTCAAATCAAAGTGGCTCTTTTATGCTCAGTTTATGTGAAGTATAATGTACACTGGTTAAATTTCAGACTGACCTGCCTGACTGCTTCTTCCAAATGATAAAACTTGAAGTATATATAAAGATGTAAACAGACTTTTGGGAAACTAGGAATTTCCTAAAAATTACAGAGCCACAAAGCTGAAAAACTTAAGACAAAATCCTGAGGAGAGCATGTTCTCTGATTAATCTCCAGGCTTATAGAAAAGACATGGATGTAGAGTGTATATTTTTCTCCAACATTTAATATTATTAACAAGGTATACTTGGAGCTAGATGGGTGATAAATGAACTTTACCTCGTCAAAGAGTTTCCTGTGTGGGGAACAAGCTATAGGATAGGTGACACGTATTTTCTCCACTTTCAAACACGGAATTGAGAGCATTTCTCTTTGCATACAATGGCAGATTTCACCCAAAATTGAAATACTCCTGGGTAACATAGAGGATACACTTTCTTGAATCATTCCATCATCATGGGAGTATATTTCAGATCCCTGACTGACTGGTTAAGCCAAGAGATATGAAAAAAAGTTGCAGAAATATGAGGTGCCTCATAGTAGTGGACATATGGTGTTGGAAGTAAGATGATGAGGGAGATAAGAAATAAATTGTGGATTGCTTCCAATTTCTGAAGAAAAAATACAGGTATTATTGCGTAGATGATATGAACTCTAAAAAATGTAAAAGCCAGTATGAAATACAGAGAAGGAGAATTTATGCATAGCTGAAAATATTTTTACATCAAAGACCACTAAAACAATTAAATCATTCTTGTAAAAAGCAATTAATGAGACCTAAAATGGGCCAGAAGTCAGCTAAGGACATATGATTCAGTAGGGCATGGAATTATGATAATAAAGTAAATCATTGATTAAACAAGTAAAACGAGAAGAATGATATAACTCCAGGGAGTGGGGAAAAGTTAACTTCGGATATAGGTGTGTTGATTTGAGTTGTCAGCAGTGTTTATTGATTTTGTAAATTTATTTACGATCAGCTCATGCAGGGCACCACTGCCCTGAAGTCTGAATCTGTGTGTATCATCACATTTTACAAAGCTGTGGGTCAAAACAGTCAAAACGGAAAGGAATGGCTGGGTGCGGTGGCTCACGCCTGTAATCCCAGCACTTTGGGAGGCCAAGGTGGGTGGATCATTTGAAGTCAAGAGTTCGAGACCAGCCTGACCAACATGGTGAAACCCCATTTCTAGTAACATACAAAACTTAGCCGGGTTTGGTAGTGGTGCCTGTATTCCAAGCTACTCGGAAGCTGAGGCTCGAGAATTGCTTGACTCCAGGAGGCTGAGGTTGCAGTGAGCTGAGATCACACCACTACACTCCAGCATGGGCAACAGAGCAAGACTCTGTCTCAAAAACAAATAAACAAAACAAAACAACAACATAAAAAACAGGCAGGACTAATTACACATACATTTATAAACTTCATTGAGGTGCTTATCTTTTCTAACTCTTCTAGGTCATAGCACACAACTGTTGTTATTCAAGGAAATTAAAATAGGATTAAGTGATCTGTTTATGAAGAATCTCAATATTCACAAAAATTAAAATAATCATTTATATATTGTCGGTGACATACTTCTGCATTTATTTTACAAAAGGGAAAATCTAAGCTCATTTTATTCAAACAAGTAGTTGTTAATAAGATGGAAAATAATTTTTTAATGTTTGTTATTTGTTTTGATGATCATAAAGCATCTTGAAAGACAGAAACCTGGACTAATGTATTTATAAATTTTATAATTTACGTATTAATATGTGAAAGTATATATGTATGTATTTATGCATATTGAGGGAAATGTTATACATACAGAAGGTGCACAAATAACTCTTATGTAAACATTTAAGTAACCACTATCAAAATATAAATAAATGATATGAACACCTACTATCCCACATATAGAATTAATACATTATACTTCAATTTCAACAAGTTAACCAAACACGTAAATATGAAATACAACCTTAAAGACACATTGTTGATGTTGACTAGATGATACTTCTATTTTTTACATTTAAAATATAGTGTTTCAAATTATAAACATATTGAGTTTTGTGACAATATTTCATTACTTATTATTTTGGAAAGTCTTAGAATTATACATTTTATTTTCTATAAGTTTAATCTAAATAATAAATGCAATAGACAGAAAGACAAGTTCCACAGTTCATTCATTTCATTCAAATATTCAACATTCTTGAGCAACTGCTATGCACTAGGCTCTGTTCCAGGCAGTTGGTTATACCAGTGATCAGAACAAGGATCTCTCATTGTGAAGTAAAAATTCTGGCATAGAATGAAAATAAACAGTAAATATAACCAGTGTGTTTATTATTTAATGTACTAGAAGGTGAAAAGTGACATGCAAACATGTGAAAATGGAGCAGAGCAAGGAGGACCAGGAAATTAGGGTTTAAGTGGGAGCCCTACAATTTTTTAAAGGGTGTGCAAGGATAGGCCTCCTTGGGAAAGTGACATTTGAGAAAAGAGTAGATTTGAGTAAATTATGTGGAATTAATTAAGATTATGAGACTCAAGATGGAGCCAAGGGCCCACTCAATATACTGAATATCATCGATTATTTGAAGAAAGAAATGCCCAGCTTGTAAAACATGCCCACTCCAAAAACTGGCTAAGAGTATTTTGATGTTGATTACAAAACATGCATCACTAACTCTCATTTTATTATGCAGGTATATTATTGTTAGATTAAGATTTACACTAATATTTTTTCTTTATTATTAATTCATTATTTCTTTTTAGGTTAAAAAATAGAGAATTCATGATGGGCCATCAGAATCACACTTTCAGCAGTGATTTCATACTTTTGGGATTGTTCTCTTCTTCCCCAACAAGTGTGGTCTTCTTCTTAGTTTTATTTGTCATTTTCATTATGAGTGTAACAGAAAATACGCTCATGATCCTCCTCATTCGCAGTGACTCCCGACTCCACACTCCAATGTATTTTCTGCTCAGCCATCTCTCCTTAATGGATATCTTGCATGTTTCCAACATCGTTCCCAAAATGGTCACTAACTTTCTGTCAGGCAGCAGAACTATTTCATTTGCAGGTTGTGGGTTCCAGGTATTTCTGTCCCTCACCCTCCTGGGTGGTGAGTGCCTTCTCCTGGCTGCAATGTCCTGTGATCGCTATGTGGCTATCTGTCACCCGCTGCGCTATCCGATTCTTATGAAGGAGTATGCCAGCGCTCTCATGGCTGGAGGCTCCTGGCTCATTGGGGTTTTCAACTCCACAGTCCACACAGCTTATGCACTGCAGTTTCCCTTCTGTGGCTCTAGGGCAATTGATCACTTCTTCTGTGAAGTCCCTGCCATGTTGAAGTTGTCCTGTGCAGACACAACACGCTATGAACGAGGGGTTTGTGTAAGTGCTGTGATCTTCCTGCTGATCCCTTTCTCCTTGATCTCTGCTTCTTATGGCCAAATTATTCTTACTGTCCTCCAGATGAAATCATCAGAGGCAAGGAAAAAGTCATTTTCCACTTGTTCCTTCCACATGATTGTGGTCACGATGTACTATGGGCCATTTATTTTTACATATATGAGACCTAAATCATACCACACTCCAGGCCAGGATAAGTTCCTGGCAATATTCTATACGATCCTCACACCCACACTCAACCCTTTCATCTACAGCTTTAGGAATAAAGATGTTCTGGCGGTGATGAAAAATATGCTCAAAAGTAACTTTCTGCACAAAAAAATGAATAGGAAAATTCCTGAATGTGTGTTCTGTCTATTTCTATGTTAAATGCCTGAAGGATACTCATGAGAGGTTTCCTAGAAAGAAATCAAAGCTTCTATCTTACCACATATAAGAAGTGAATATTTCAGAAACATTGTTAATAATAAACAATAATATGTGTTTGTGTTGTAAACACGTACCTCTAAAAATGTAGTGTTCCTTCTGTGGTACCAATTATAATCATGCAACAGTTACAGGAAGTAGAAGTTACCCAAGGCGTCCTATTCCCTAACACCAAAATTGTAAGACTTATGAGAATATCCCTAAAAATACAGTCACACATCCATTGTATAAAAGACAAATCCATGTTTATTTTTATAAAACTTTGTTAAATTATATTGCTAACAATCACTTATCAAAAATTCACAAATTCCATATGAAATCATTATTCTTTGCCTGGTTTATCAACACCTTTATTTAGTAAAATTTTACAGATACACATATATATGCACACACACATATATATGTACACACATATATACAGATATAAGTTGTGTTAAAATTGAATTACTCATCCTATGCTAGAAGCAACTATACAATATTAGATAGGAATATCATAAAAATTGCCTTATTTCATTTATACATACAGGATGATGTTTTACAAACTCTTCTAGCAATTTATCCTAATAGTTATTTCAAAGAAGATAATAAATATTTCTATTGAGAATTCATTTAATTTTTTTCCTTTTTTTTTTTTTTTTTTTTACAAACACTAAGACACACTTTGTAAGTTTAAAATGTATGGGCCAGGCGCGGTGGATCACGCCTGTAATCCCAACACTTTCGGAGGCCTAGGTGGGCGGATCACGAGGTCAGCAGATCGAGACCATCCTGACTAACACGGTGAAACCCCGTCTCTACTAAAAATACAAAAAAATTAGCCGGGCGTGGTGGCGGGCGCCTGTAGTCCCAGCTACTCGGGAGGCTGAGGCAGGAGAATGGCGGGAACCCGGGAGGCGGAGCTTGCAGTGAGCCAAGATGGCGCCACCGCACTCCAGCCTGGGCCACAGAGCTAGACTCCATCTCAAAAAAACAAACAAAAAACAAAACAAAAACAAAAACAAAAAACACGTATGAACAGCTTGAGTCAAATCTGCCTTCTGGCAGCTGGGCACCAAGTCTGCTCCCCCGCAGGCTCCTGCCTTCCTTCACATTGCACTGCTCATTGTGTGGTTCTGGTCCTGGGACCTGGTGGTAGGGGCTGGAGAATGGGGATTGGGCAGCCCAGTTCCGCTCTCCTCATGCAGTGTCCTGCGTCTGTCATCTGCTTGGGTTGTGGCTTGTGTGGAAGGACCACGACTGAGGTTGCCAGGCCAGCAAAGACGGGGTGCAGAAGAGTCTCAGCCAGAGTGATGTGCTGGGCAGCGTCCAATTTTACCACCCTCCGCATCAGGTCAAACAGCTGCACGTGCTCCAGAGAGTCTTGGAGCATGTCACTCTTCAGACGTTTGCAGTTCTTCACATATGGGCTGTCAGAGCTGTTCTCATCCCAAACTAGGCCCCATTTGTAGAAATATTTCTGCTTCTTGGTACAGGAGATCACGCGTAATGGGATGAGCCGTAGGGTCTTCAACATCACCAGGCGCTCTTGGTTTTCACAGGTCTGGAAGAGTGTGAAACCTGGTAGTACTTAAAGAGAAGGTAGCCCATGCCCTGGACATGGCAGGGGCGTGTCCAGCCCAGATCAAGGATCAGTTCAGGCAGGCGACAGTGACCGTGGTCACCATGGCGATGTGGTGCCCACGGTCAGAGGTGGCATTGGGGAAGTCAGCCACTCGGACGCTGGTGCTCCTCACTGACTTCTCATCGCTCCTGTGCTCGCTGTAGACGGTGTTTAACTCAGAATCCACATGCAGGATGTTCTCGGTTTTCAGGTGTGCGTGGGTCAGCCGGTTCTCGTGCAGAAATCTAAGGGTGTGGCAGAGCTGGTGGGCCATGTGCCAGACATGTGGGAGGGGAATGGCTGGATGTTATTCTCCTTCGGGAACTCAAGGGTTTTCCTGCCCAGGAGCTCAAAGGTGATATGCATGGACCGCGGAGGGTGAACCAGTCACACCCCAAGACGCACAGCAGCTGGTTCTCTTAGTCCTTCTCGTTTATTTTTTTCGAGAGCGTTGAGTTTTGGCGGTGCCGCCTCCCGGTGCTTGCCCACATTGCAGATGACCCTCCGGCAACCCGAGACGTCCTTCTGGCAGGGTCCAAGCACTCACCCCCTTGCCACAGGCGCCTTGGCCCAGGTTCCCACTTGTCTTTATTGCTCTTGGGGCCAATCACCGACCCGGCCACCAGGTGGCGCCTGTTTATCATCTTCCGCACCTGCGCCCTGGGCTCACTCGCTGGGGCTGCCGGAGGACGCGCTCCTTCAGGACCCGCTGCGGCCACCAGGTGGAGCCTCTTTATCATCTTCCGCACCCGAGCCCCGGGCTCACTCGCTGGGGCTGCCGGAGGACGCGCTGCTGCGAGACCAGCCGCGGCGTCTTTGGCAGTAGTGGGCGTGCTTGCGGGTCCAGGAGGGCCCCTCTCCCGCGACCGCCGACCACGATGAGAGCGTGAAGACCCTCTCGAAAGGAAGGGCTCTGCTCTACACACTGGTGTCTCCTGCGGAAGGGCAGCTGGGCACGCCTTCCAGACCGAGGTATCAGACGAGAGGCCCCCTGGGGACGGGGCGGTTACCGCAGTCTCCCTTCTTGCTCCCGACTGTCAGCCCTCCTCCCCTCCCATCAGCAGCTCAGGGATGGGGCTGGCTCTGGGGCCTCCTCTTCCATCAACCCCTCAGCTACGGGGCTGGTTCAGGGGACTCCTCCCCTCCCATCAGCAGCTCAGGGATGGGGCTGGCTCTGGGGCCTCCTCTTCCATCAACCCCTCAGCTACGGGGCTGGTTCAGGGGACTCCTCCCCTCCCATCAGCAGCTCAGGGATGGGGCTGGCTCTGGGGCCTCCTCTCCCAGGCTCAGCTGCCGCTGGGACCCACTCCCCTGAGCGCCTCTCCCCTAAGTAATGTTATTCATAGCAAAAACTAGAAAAACACATTTTAATGAAATAAATGTTCAGGTTAATTTTATTATAGCATGCCAACTAAATGTTTTATACTATAGAAATAAATATTTAACAAAATATGAAGATATATATGAAACTTTAATGAAAAATGATTAGCCTTTCACAATTGGAAAATTAAAAACAATAGTAATAAATGTTAACCATATTTTGGTGAATTGGACATCATAACATATTGTAGGCATACATGAAATATGGTACAAACATTTTAAAAAGAACAGTGTGGCAATATATATTAAGGACCTTAAATAAACTATGAAATTATCTTCTAATAATACAACTATTTAATGTTCATAATTTAGACATAAAATAAGCAATTATTATATATTAATAACATTTTTTCCCTGACAATTGAGTTTTTTTACTTGATTCCAGTCCTGTAACAGTCTCCTATCCCTGGTGTGCTAAGGAGTTTTATTTCAGTAGAGAATGAGTAAAATTACTAATATAATGATATATAAAAATGTATTGCTAAGAGACGTTCAAAATTGACTGGAAGTGCTAATGTTAATATTAGATGCATCAGGTGCTGTATTTTTTTAAAGCCTGCTTTTACAACTCATAATAATACCTAATGTGGACCCAAGAGCAGCATGAAATCAGAGACAGTAAAAATCCGAATAGCAAGATATTATTGTAAGCAAGAGAAAGTCATTCTGCTGAACAGATCTGAGGATGATATAGAAGTTTAGAAGTCAGAATTCATAGATTTACAAATTTCCAGATTAAAATACAAAAATAATCTGTGATAGGGCTAAAAAACATTTTTTTCCTGTTGGGGATATAGAAACATAGAAACGCCTACATTGAGGGTAGTAGAAGACTTCATGTAAATAAACATGCCCACACACACATGCACACATACACACTGACACACACACATATATTTTTCTTAATAAAGAGTGTAAAGAGCATGGTTCAATCAGTGTGGGATTGTAAAGCATACTTGGATGAAATTGGAAGTGGAAAGTAAGATATTTTAAACATTAACCACATACCTAAAGTACTGCACATAGAAATAATTAGGCTTAAAGGTAAAGCCTATCACAATCTAAAGACATGCATTTGTAGTGGTGCGTGTTCAGATACCTGGGTATTGTGGTGGAGATACACATAGTCTTTTGAACATTCCGTTGTAGGTCGCTGGTAGCTGGATATGTCCTTTAAACTTTTGTGGCAATTCATTTGAGAAGAAACGCAGCTTTTTCTATTGAGTTCTTATGCTATAAGTAAAGGATGCAAGACATTAATTAGACAAAATAAGGTAAAATTTTGTATTCGCTTAGAGAGTTTAAGAGGCTATTAGCCACTAGTCTCTATAGTGCCTAAGTAAATCGATTCTGCTTAATAAACTGCTACCTGGCTTAGTAAGTAAACAAATTGAAACTTATTTTAGGAAAGAAATATATATTCTTATATCTACATCAGATTCTCTTATGTAGAAACACTAGAGGGTGAATGAGGAGTTAATGTAAGCAGCATCATATTTTTGCTCATTCCTTTCTCTATGATTTCTGCTTCTTCTGTCCAAATTCTGTGAGGTGTCCTCTAGATGAAATTATCACAGGCATGGAAAAGGTCATTTTCCACTTGGTCCATCCTCATGATTGCAGTTGTAACATACTGGGACTCATTCATTTTCACATATGTATATGAGACTTAAATCATCCACATTTCAGGCCAGGTTAAGTTTCTAGAAATATTCTATGCTTTCCTTGCACTTACACTCAATCCTGTCGTCTACAGCGTTGGCACTGACAGTGTTCTGGTGGCAATGAAAAATATGCTCTAGAGCAACATTCTACATAAAAAAAAGAATAGGAAAATTCCTTTCACTTGTGTATTCCCTCTATTTCCACATTCAATGTCTATAGAGTGTTGTTAGTTTCTTTGGAAAGAAAACCGAACCTTCTGTCTTTCTAAGTGTAGAAAGATGTGGATATTTTCAAAACCCCAATAATAATAAAGTTTTTACATATGTTTGTTTTTTCAATGCATGTCTAAAAATGTATTGTTCCTCTTGTGGGTACCGATTTCAATCACTCAACACACTCTAGAAAGACAAAGATAACCTAAGGCTTCCACCACCCTCCCACTAAAATTGTAAGAATATATAAGAATTACATTTGAAATACAATCAAACCATTATATTAAAAACATGTACTAATATAATATCTGTGTTTTTATGAAACTTCCTAAAATTGTATTTCAAGTCTCACAATCAGTTTCTTTTCAAAAATCTACAACTCCACTTGAAATTACCATTATTCATTGAATGGTTTGTTTTGACACTTTAGTTTCCTCAAGTGAAAAATACATGCACATACACATATATACATACACATACTTACATACATTGATTGTAGTCAAATCAAGTTTCTCATTCTTTGTTGGAAGCATGAATACAATATTTAAGAATATCCTGAAAATTATGTCTTATTTCATGTATACATACAGGCTTATATTTTACAAACCCTTCTAACAATTTATCCTAAAAGTTATTGCAAAGAGAAAAATAAATGTTTCTATTAGGAATACTTTTAAATGGTTTTATTAATAGGAAAAACTAGAAAAACATTTTAATGAGGTAAATGTTTTAAGTTAATTTTATCAAGTTAACTAGATTTTGTATATTTAATAAATATCATAAAGTATTTAACAAAATATAAAGGTATCATAGCAAGCTTTAATGGGTGAAAGTGTTACTTTGCCTTCTATAATTGGAAACTTTAAGACAGTAACAATAATTGTTATCAAAGTTTTGGGTTGAATTTAACAGAAAACCTATAGGTATTCCTTATCCAACTCACTGTTGATGAGCACCTAGGTTGAATGTATGTCTTTGCTGTTGTGAATAGTGCAGCAATGAACATATGAATGCATGTGCCTTTTTGGTAGAATGATTTTGTGTGTGTGTGTGCATACGTGCGTGTGTGTGTGTGTGTGTGTGTGTGCGCGCGCTAAGCAATGGAATTGCTGCGTCAAATGGTATCCTTTTTAAATTTTTTGAGAAATCTCCAGACTGCTTTCCATAGCTGCTGGACTAATTTACATTCCCACCAACAGCATATAAGAATTCCCTTTTCTCTGCAGCTTCATCAACATCTGTGCTTTTTTTTAAATTTTTTGTAATAGCCATTGTGACTTGTATGAAATGGTGTCTCATTGTGGTTTTGATTTGCATTTCTGTGATGATTAGTGATGCTGAGTATTTTTTCGTATGCTTGTTGGCCACTTGTATGTCTTCTTCAGAGATGTGTCTGTTCATGTACTTTGTGCATTTTTTAATGGGGTTGTTTTTTGCTTGTTGATTTATTTAACTTCCCTATATATTCTGGGCATTAGATATTTGTCAGATGCTTAGTTTGCAAATATTATTTCCTATTCTGTAGGTTGGCTGTTTCCTCTGTTGGTAGTTTCTTTTGCTGCACAGAAGTTCTTTCATTTAGTTAGGTCCTGCTCATCAATTTTATTTTGTTGCTGTTAATTTTGGAGACTTATAAGTCAGGTAGAGGAGTAAGTATTTGGGTTATATCATAGATATTGAAAGGTTTGCTCTCTGAGGCATGTCAAAAGAGAGTTTAGATATATAAAGAATGGTGAATGGATACTAGACTTTCTGATGAACTAGCATTACCATGCCCCTCATTTATTTATTTACATGGTCATTGTAAAGGAGATATGGAATATGTAAGAAGTTTGTTATATGCATGATACTTGGAGAAATAGACATGGAAGATGAAAAAAATAGATGGATTTTGGTCTTGATTCCTCAATTAAACCAACAAATTCCTGTGGTGCTATTTGGACAGACGCCGAATGGAGAGAGATAGAGAAAAAGAGAGAGAGAGAGAGACCTTGTCATGAAAGAGAGAGACCTTGTCATGAAAGAATTTGTGAAACAAATGGACAAGCATTGGTACCTATAGAACCTAGTGATGGAGTGTGACTCAGAGCTGTGTACAAAGGCTGTCTCTTCATTTCATTAATGAATACAATGTGTGGCAGGGATACAGGAATGTCTCTTATTCTCTTCGGCATCTTAAAGTTTCTGTATGTTTCAGATTTTGTGGCATGGAGCCTTCCTAGTGAGAATCCCAATCATGATTAATTCCCATTTGGTCTCACAAGCTGGTAAATACTGGGAATTATTGTGTTACTATGACTGTAGCCTCCCAGTACCAGTCTTGGTTTCCTTTCTTTCTGTCCTTCAATCCAGACTGGCTTTCAGATACACACATACACAAAAAAACTACATGATCTCACTTACATATTGGGCCTAAAAATAATTGGAATAAGTTGCCCAGACTGGTCTCAAACTCATGGGTGCAAATCATCTGGAAACCATCCTCACAAAATGAATAAAACTAAATTCTGGGTTTTTAACCAAAAGCATAAACTTTTAGTAGAAGCATACAGTAAGCATGAACCAGCTTGCCCAATAACCTATTTTGTGTGGCTGCTTAGTGCTTAAAAGTCATGTAGCCCCTGTCACAAGGTCCTCATTTCCCTTAATTGCTTCTTTAGATATCATCTTTAATATTAGGAAACCTCAAGTTTTCTACATAAAATGTTTTCTAGATCCTGAATTCCAGTGGGTCCACGGAACCAGTGGGGCTACCGAGCTTGTCTGAGAAACTGACTCAGTGTACTACATGTTCTACTTGCCAATAATTAAACTAGTAATATAAATTATATAATATTGGATTAGTCTTAATCCCAGTCTCTTATTGATTCCTAATGACATTTATGAAAATAATTTGGTGTTCTAAATTTTCTATAAAAAATTGCCCAAAGTCATAAAGTAACTGAAAATAAATTGCTCTGCAGAGAAGCAGAAACCTGCCAAAATTTTTAAAAAATGTATTTGGAAATTAAATTAGAATAGTTTCAGTGCATTTAAATGATTTTTATTAGGGTAAATATATATAAGAGAAACACCATTTTAACCATTTTAAGTGTAGAGTTCTGTGTCATTGCACATTTATATTGTGCAATCATCCCTATCGTGCATATCCAAAACAGTTTCATTGTCTCCAACTAACACTTTGTTCTTGTTAAACAATTACTCTCCTTCTCTCCCTTCTCCCATTCCCTGGGGTCCACTCTTCCACTTCCTCTCTCTATGAATTTCACTACTCTGGGTACTTCGTGTAGGCGAATTCATACAATATTTGTCTTTTGTGACGGACTTATTTCGCTTAGCATAATATATTCGAGGTTCATCCATGTTGTAGCATGCGTCAAAATGTCTTCTCTTTTTAAAACTATATATACATACATTTTTATTGATTCTTCTGTAGATGAGCACTTTCTTTCTTTCTGCCTTTGGGCTATTGTGAATAATGTTGCTATAAACATGGGCATAGAAATATTTGTTTGATGCAAAAACAGAGTAACAAATAAGTGGGAGCTAAACATTGGGTACACATGGACATAAAGATGGGAATAGTAGACACTGGGGACTCCAAAAGAGGAGAGTGAGGGAGGAGGCAAGGGTTGGAAAGCTACCTATTTGTACTATGTTCATTATTTTAGTGAAGGGTTCAACAGAAGCCCAAACCTCAGCATCACACAATATAACCATGTAACAAACCACAAATGTACTCCCTGAATAAAAAAAAATCCAAAAATATCTGTTCAGGTGTCTGCTTTTATTTACTGGATACACTGAAATTGTTGGATCATATACTAATTCTATGTTTAAATTTTGAGGAATTCCTACACATATGGTTCCAGATTTACAATAATTTGATGTTTTTTGACTTTATGATGAATTTATCGAAACATAACCCCAGTGTAAATTGAGGAGCACCTGGACATATGATGGTTTGACTTGCACCTTTTTATGTTATGATGAGTTTATCAGGATATTAACTTTTTACTTACAGTATTTTCAACTTATGATGGTTTTTTCAGGGTGAAACTCCACTGTAAGTGAGAAGCATCTGTATCATTTTCCACAGTGCCTTTATTATTTGACATTTCCCCCAACTATTCTTTTATAATTTTTTCTCTTACATTTAGATTTTTGATTCATTTTGACTTAATTTTTCTATATACTATAAAGTAAACATCCAACTTCAATATCTTGAATGTAAATATCCACTTTTCCAAACACCATTTATCGAAAAGACTGTCCCTTCTCCACGAGTGGACTTAGTTCCCTTTTTGAAAAAAGGTTGCCATGTATATGAGAGTCTATTTCTTGACTCTGTTTTCCTCTGTTGGGCTATATGTCTGGCTTTGTGCCAGTGCCACATTGTTTTGATTACTATAGCTTTGAGTAAGTTTTAAAATCAGAAAGGATGAGTCTTTAAATTTTGTTCTTTTTTAAAAAAAGTCAAGATTTTTTGAATATTGAGGATCCTTTAAGATTCATATAAATTTTAGGATGAGCTTTCTGTTTGTGAGAAAAAAGATTTATTTGAATTTTGATGGAGATTCCATTGAATCTTTTTTTTTGCTTTGCATGCTTTATTATTTTTTTAATAATTATTTTATTGTTTGTTTTTAAGTTTCAGGGTACATATGCAGGATGTGCAGTTTTGTTACATAGGTAACCATGTGGCATGGTGGTTTGCTGCTTTTATCAATTCATCACCTAGGTGTTAGGCCCAGCATGCATTATCTCTTTTCCCTAATGCTCTCCCCCAAATTGTCCTCCCCCAACAGGCCCCAGTAAGTGTGGTTCTTCTCCCTGTGTCAATGTGTTTTCATTGTTCAGCATCCACTTACAAGTGAGAACATGCAGTGTTTGCTTTTCTGTTCTTGCATTAGTTTGCTGAGGATAATGGCTTCCAGCTCCATCCATGTCCCTGCAAAGGACATGATCTTGTTCCTTTGTATGGCTGCATAGTATTCCATGGTGTATACGTACCACAATTTCTTTATCCAGTCTATCATTAATGGGCATTTGGGTTGATTCCACATCTTTGCTACTGAGCATAGTGCTGCAATGGACATACACGTGCATGTACCTTTATAATAGAATAATTTATATTAGTATTCTCTGATGATTGTATTTCTGTGGGATCAATGGTGGTATTTCCCTTATGGTTTCTGATTGTGTTTGTTTGAATATTATCTCTTTTCTTCTGTATTTGTCTTGCTAATGATCTATCTATTTTATTGATTTTTTTTTTCAAAAACCAGCTCCTGGATTCATTAATTTTTTGAAGGGTTTTTTGTGTCTCCATGTCCTTCAGTTTCTCTCTGATCTTGGTTATTTCTTACCTTTTGCTAGCTCTGGGGTTTGTTTGCTCTTGGTTCTCCAGTTCTTTCAGTTGTGATGTTAGGGTGTCGATTTGAGATCTTTCTAGCTTTTTGCTGTGGGCATTTAGTGCCATAAGTTTCCCCTTTAACACTGATTTAGCTGCATCCCAGAGATTCTGATAAGTTGTCTCTTTGTTTTCATTGATTTCAAAGAACTTCTTGATTTCTGCCTTAATTTCATTATTTACCCAGGAGTCACTCAGGAGCAGGTTGTTCAATTTCCATGTAGTTGTGTGGTTTTGAGGGATATTTTAATCTTGAGTTCTAATTTGATTGTGCTGTGGTCTGACAGACTGTTTGTTATGGTTTCATTTATTTTGTATTTGCTGAGGAGTGTTTTACTTCCAATTATGTGGTCAATTTTGGAGTAAGTGCCATATGGTGGTGAAAAAATGTATATTGTTTTTGGATGGAGAGTCCTGTAGATATCTATCAGGTCCACTTGGTCTAGAGCTGAGTTCAAGTCCTGAATATCTTTGTTAATTCTCTGGCTCAAGATCTAATAGTGACAGTGGGGTATTAAAGTCTCCCGCTATTATTGTGTGGGAGTCTAAGACTCTTTGTATGTGTCTAGGAACTTGTTTTATGCATCCGGGTGCTCCTGGATTGGGTGCATATACATTTAAAGTGGTTAGTTCTTCCTGTTGAATTGAATTCTTTAACATTACAAAATGCCCTTCTTTGTCTTTTTTGACCTTTGTTGGTTTGAAGTCTATTTCGTCAGAAACTAGGATTGCTACCCCTGCTTTTTCCTTCTTTCCATTCACTTGGTAAATTTTCCTCTATCCCTTTATTTTGAGTCTATGTGCATTTTTGCACATGAGATGTGTCTCTCGAATACAGCACACCAATGGGTGACTTTGGGTATTGTTGACATCTTAACCGTATTAGCCTTCGATAAATAAATATGTAGGATGCATTTCCATTTATTTTTGTCTTCTTTAATCGCTGTAATCAGCATTTTGTCATTTTCAGTGTGTAAAGTTTTCACCTCCTTGGTTTGGTTTATTCTAAGTGTTTCATTTCTTTTTGATACTATTGTTAATAAAATGAGAGTGCAATTTTCAGATTGTTTATTGTTAGTGTATAGAAGTACAGCAGGTTTTGGCTGTTGTTGATGTTACATCCTATAATTTTCCTGATTTTGTTTATTGCTTATCCTAAGTTTTCTACATATATAATTATGTCATATGCAAACAGAAATAATTTTACTTTTCTTTTGAATTAAGATATTTTTATTTCTTTCTTATTTAATTGCTTTGACTGAACTTCCAGTAATATGTTGAACAGAAGCCGGGAAAGTGGACTGTAGTGTCTTGTTCCAAATCTCAGACTAAAAGCTGCCAGTCCTTCATTATTATGATGAAGCTGCAGGTTAAATTCTTAACTGGGACAAAATTTTTACATCACTTTAATGTTTTATTCAAGTAATGCATAGACATAGTCTCAGCAGACCACAGGGTAAAATGTTAGAAACATAACAAACTCTTGCTGACCCCAAAGGCAAGGACTTCAATTTATCTTTCCAGTTTTTCCCCATATTTGCCCTTGTATTTTTAGACAATATGTTCATCTGCTAATGCCTGATTTCTATATCCCAAATAGCATTCCTTGACCCATGATATATGCTAGCATGGATAGCGACCTGCTCCCTCCTCCATAATCACCCCCAGGTTCCTTACCCTTCTCCCATTGTCACAGCAGAATTACATTCCACTTTATGTCTGCAATGAGGGGTTGACAACATCATTTCATCTTACAGAATTTATTGCTGCAATACAAAAAAAAACTATTGCATTTGAACATGATAGTTAATATATTTCAGTTGAGAGAAATTTTTTTAAGAATACTAACTTCACTATTATTTTGCTATATCCCTTTCTAGGAATGTCCTTAAGCACATATTGGTCCTCCTGTATGAATCCCCTCATTTTTCTATCTTCCCTAAATAGCAGTCTTTTCATGTGGTTATTGCTTTTGTTTACCTTCAAATAGAGTTTTCTTACTTTGTCTTTTGAAACTTCCGCTTAATATTTTTATCAATTAATACAATTTTAGTTTTCAAAAGTTCTTTAATGTTACGTGTCACATCCTTTCATATAGCAAATGATATTTATTTTATGGATTTCATAACAGATCATACATCTCTGAAGAAAGGAATTTTGATCACAAAAAACTATTCTTTCTGCATATTTTAATCATTTTAAAGTCAGTGTATTTATGCATATGACTGTGTGTGATTGTGCATATTTGTGTGTGTTTGCACACTGGGAATCTTCCTCGTACATGTTGTTATACTTGCTCCAAATTCTGGTGATCTTTGGCTCTAGACTAATATTTAAGCCTAAAAACTCTGGTTCTTTTAGGCTTACTGTGCAAAGCTGTTTACTGATGTCTTACATCTGGAGTGGAATTTCTAACACACCTCTACCTAGAAGTCTGTCAGAATTTTAGTTTCTTTTTTTTATTTAGGCAATTGCATGCTCCTCCAAGTGCATTCTTTTGAAGGATCCATAAAGCAATGTGTAATGTTATCTAATCACTAGAGAAGCAAAAGACAAAATCTGTAACATATTTGGTAAGGGGTCTGCTTTAAATAGAGTATTCTGAAATTAGGCGAGGAGGCCAAAGAGAATGGATGATGATGAATATTGAAAATCAAGAGTGTGGATTAATATGACTTTCCGTAAAAGGGACATAGCAATAAGGATTTATTCTAGGTTTCTAAATAGGAGGACCAAATTATAACTGACAAAAGAAGTTTGACTTGGCATTATTGCACAAAGATCATTCAAGTTTCTCAAAATGAGAGACAAGCTGCTGCAGTTTTAGAAGTAAATCTGACAGAATAAACATGGGTTGGGTGGGGAGCTGTTGCCTGCAATCACAGCACTTTGCAAGGCCGAGACAGGAGGATTACTGAGGCCGAGGGTTCAAAACCAGCCTGAGAAACACAGTGACACTTCATGTCTACAAAAGTATAAAGTTAACTAGGCATTGTGGCACGTGGCTGTAGTCGCAGCTACTCAGGAGGCTGAGGCAGGAGGATCACTTGAGCCCAGAAGTTCAAGGCTGCAGTGAGCTATGATCTTGCCACTGCACTCCAGCCTGGGTAACAGAGAGAGACCCTGTCACTTAAAAAAAAAGAAAAAGAATAAGTGTGGAAATATAACAGATCATTCTATAAAGGTAAGACTAATTTATTCAAATATAAATCTGTAATGTATGCATTTATAGTGACTTTCTATGCATAGGTATTCAGTATAATATTTGACTTTGAATGTATCTGAGTTTGCGTCAGGCAGTAAACCATTCATATTCTATTGAAGTTGTAATAGAGGTATCTTTCTTATAAATTTACATATTTCTCAGAAAAAAACTAGTAACAAATGTTGATCTCATCAAATGTGAAACTCTGGGTAAGAAAATAAGATTTCTTTTTTCAAAATAGGTAAAAATCAGAACAAAGAAGTCTGAGTACAGTACAATAAAAGATTTTGAGAAAGATAGAGATCATATTCACATATTTATAGTATACTGTATAATTGTTCTATTTTATTATCAGTTACTCTTGTTAATCTCTTACTTGTCTAATTTATTAATTAAACTTTATCAGAAGTATGTATAGACAAAAATAATAGTGTATTTAGGGTTCAGTATCAACTGCAGTTTCAAACATCCACTGGGGGGGCTTGGAATGCATCCCCTGCAGATAAGGGCGAATTACTGTACGTAAATTACTCTTGTGTCTCCCTTCCGAATGGATTGTAGGAATGCTCCATGGAAAATTACAATCAAACATCAACTGATTTCATCTTATTGGGGCTGTTTCCACCATCAAGAATTGACCTTTTCTTCTTCATTCTCATTGTTTTCATTTTCCTGATGGCTCTAATTGGAAACCTGTCCATGATTCTTCTCATCTTCTTGGACACCCATCTCCACACACCCATGTATTTCCTACTGAGTCAGCTCTCCCTCATTGACCTAAATTACATCTCCACCATTGTTCCTAAGATGGCATCTGATTTTCTGCATGGAAACAAGTCTATCTCCTTCACTGGGTGTGGGATTCAGAGTTTCTTCTTCTTGGCATTAGGAGGTGCAGAAGCACTACTTTTGGCATCTATGGCCTATGATCGTTACATTGCTATTTGCTTTCCTCTCCACTATCTCATCCGCATGAGCAAAAGAGTGTGTGTGCTGATGATAACAGGGTCTTGGATCATAGGCTCGATCAATGCTTGTGCTCACACTGTATATGTACTCCATATTCCTTATTGCCGATCCAGGGCCATCAATCATTTCTTCTGTGATGTCCCAGCAATGGTGACTCTGGCCTGCATGGACACCTGGGTCTATGAGGGCACAGTGTTTTTGAGTGCCACCATCTTTCTCGTGTTTCCCTTCATTGGTATTTCATGTTCCTATGGCCAGGTTCTCTTTGCTGTCTACCACATGAAATCTGCAGAAGGGAGGAAGAAAGCCTATTTGACCTGCAGCACCCACCTCACTGTAGTAACTTTCTACTATGCACCTTTTGTCTACACTTATCTACGTCCAAGATCCCTGCGATCTCCAACAGAGGACAAGGTTCTGGCTGTCTTCTACACCATCCTCACCCCAATGCTCAACCCCATCATCTATAGCCTGAGGAACAAGGAGGTGATGGGGGCCCTGACACGAGTGAGTCAGAGAATCTGCTCTGTGAAAATGTAGAAACACTTTCTGCCTAAGGTCTCAGGACTCAGATACACATCCATTCAGCAGTGTATAGTAATTAAAATATTATGTCCTTCCTAGAGTGCAGGACTAAAACTAACCAACGGAAGAAGAAAATCACTGATATATGGACAAAATTGTTTTACAAATATATATATAATTCTAAGAAACCTTTTTTCTTGATGGCCTTTTTCCAAAAATTTTGAAAGTACATATTTTTGCTAATATGTTGTCAATAAGAATTTTTTTTTTGGTCATGCAGAAATGAAAATGAAAATGGCCTAACTGAAGTTGGCACTCAGCATAACAATTTTATTATTGTCAATTTATTTTCCAGTAATTAAAATTTTTTTTTGGTTATGTCTAAAACAAAACCAAAAATCTCTTGACTTGGTGGATCTAATTGAAAGCCATAAGATGTTTTCTGTTTCTTATCTTAGACACTTAACGTACCAGTTACTCTTTCTTTCAATTTAGGGGGACTTATTATTACTGAGATTTAGCAGAAGGCTCATCAGTGGTTCTTAAGTCCTGATACCACTCTGGATGGCCTGTGACAAGTTTATGCTTTCTGTAGTGGAATGAATCCCAGGGAAATGATTTAACATCAGGTAAATTTTAGATCAACAACAAGTATTGGAAGATGCCATCAGTGATCAAGAATGATTACACTTAGGTCTTTAACCCATTTTATGTTGATTTTGGTATAGTGTAAGAATTGGGAGTTTAGTTTCATTTTTCTGCATATGGATATCCAGTTTTACAAGCACCTTATATTGAAGAGACTGTCAGTTTCCCAATAAATGTTCTTGGCATTGTTGTCAGATATCATTTAACTATGTCAGGCACAGAAAGACAGATTTTGCATGTTCTCACTCCTACCTAGGACCTAAAAATTTTAAAAATTGAGCTAATAGAAATAGATAATAGACTGGTGGTCACCAGAGGATCGGAAGGGTATAGGGGAGGGGGGATAAAGTGGGGACGGTTAATGGTTGTAAAAATATAGATAGCACGAATAAGAGCCAGTATGTGGTAGCACAACAGAGTGACTGTAGCAAACAATAATTCATTGTAGAATATATTGTATATATTAAAAAATAACTGAAAGTTTGGAATTGGAATGTTCCCAACAGAGAGAAATGATACATATTTGGGGTGCTGGTTATCCCAATTACCCTGATTTGATCATTACACATTGTACGTGTTTTTCAAAACATCACATACACTCTATAATTACATATTACTATTATGTATCCATAGTGATTAAAAATAAAAAATTAAATCAGTTAGCTAGAGATACGTGGATTTATTGCTGAATTCTCTGTTCTGTGTCATTGTTCTATGCATCTGTTTTTATGCCAGTACTATTCTGTTTTGATTACTACATCTTTGTAGTATAGTTTGAAGTTTGCTACTGTTATGCTTCCAGCTTTGCTCTTTTTTTCAGGATTGATTTGGCTGTTTGGGGTCTTTCATAGTTCATACAAATCTTAGAATTGTTTTTACTATTTATGTGCAGATGTCATTGGTATTTTGACAGACATTGCATTGAATCTGAGGTTTGGTCATTTAAATAATAATAATTCTTCCAATCCACAAGCATTGGATGTCTTTCGATTTGTTTGTATTCTTCTTCATTTCCTTTCATCAGTATTTTGTAGAAATAAATTCTATTGTTCTCTTCTATGACTAAAGTTAACAGTAAAGTATTACATAGTTAAAATTCTTGAAATGCTCTTTAACATCATTTCTATTTCTAAGCCTGTGGATATTTGTTTTGCAATGTTGTTGCAGTTAAAACACACATTTTGAACTTGTCTTATGAATCAGAGTAAGTCCTTTTTGTGTTTTGCTGCAATGAGCAGTGTATATTTTTATTTTGTAATAGTTTGCTAACAATGTTTACTGCTAATCTTCCTGGCTTTTTCTTTTCTGATATTCAATGAATACAACAGGCGTGGGCTCTGGGACAGAGGGAAAATAGGCATCCCATCAGCAGTCACTTGCTGCTGCCAGGGCAAGCACCTCCTCTCTTCCAAGCTAGGGACACTTGGACCCTACTGCCACCTGCACTGCTGCTTCTGTCATCACCATCAATATGAGCCCAGGCATACCCCAGACACTGCTTGGGTCCTGTGGTGCTGTGAAGTATTACAAGATGTGTGTGTGTTTGTGTGTGTGTGTGTGTGTGCGCGCGTGCGCGCATGAGAAGACCAGGCCAATTGCCCCATGTGGTTGTTGCCTGAGCCCACTTGTGTAGTCACTACCAGTGGACCCAAACTGCGTGCTAACACTGCCAGCCTGTCTAGCTCCTCTATCACATTCATACTCAGAGATGAAATTATTAGATATTTCAATGACAACAGAAGAGCATGAAACCATGCATGGAGCCCTTTGAGTGTGAACCCTGTGCATATGCCCGTGAGGCCAGTCCTGAGAAGGATGGAAAGAGTGGACAGGAAGTGAATGACATCATGCAGTCTAGGATAGTGGTGGGAATGTGTGATGGTCTGAGTGTTTGTATCCTCTGAAAATCTATATGTTTAAATCTAAACCCCTAAAATGAGAGTATTAGGAGTAGGGGCCTTTTGGGAAATGATTAGGTCATGAGGGTAGCACCTTCTTGAATAAGATTAATGCCTTTCTAAAGGAGGCTCGAGGGAGCTTGTTCATCCCTTCTACCATGTGAGGTCACAGTAGACGGTGCCATCTATGATGTCATAGAAGCCACCATCTATGAACCAGAAAGCAAGATTTCTCCAGACACTGAATCTTCAGGCACTTTGTCTTGGACTTCCCAGCTTCCACACCTCTGAGAAATATGTTTCTGTTGTTTATAGGTTACCACAGTTTAAGATATTTTTTCATAGCAGCTTGAATAGTCTAAGAATGTCTGCTGTTTTTGTTAATTATTATTATTGGAAAGAGCCTGAGGGAGGACTGAATTAAGCAGTGGTGTCTGGTTCAGACCCTATACCCATTTCAGGTAGTGATTCATGGAGGGAATCAGGAGACCTAGCTCTGTGATTTTCTCTGACATACCATGGCCTTGGGGAAATCATTCCATCTCTCTGAAGTTAGTTTACTGAAAAACAATATGGGTGCCTTGTACCTGATCAGTAAATGGCATCACTGACATTTACTGCTGACATTCCTGTAGAGGCAATGGTAATCCTATTTTTCATGCCAATGACCCTGGGATTGGAGATAAAGAGGTCACCCCTCTAACATGCTGTCTTCACTTAGAGGCCACTCCTTTCCCCTTAAGGTCATTAAGAAGAACAACAGAAAAAGAAGTCAAATTATTCAAATCTACTGTCATTTACTACATTGTTTATGAGAATGTACTCCAGATAATTTTGAAAGTTGGACGATAATTCCTCTTGATGGGGAAATTAACGAATTCATTACCTCACAGAGTCCTTGGCTCACTGTTCATTGTGCCTCGTTTTAGCCATTGTTCTTTGTATGCAAATGTTATGCTGTGGTTATTATTTCGCACTTCACAGTCATTCTTTAATTGTTTCATGTCCTTAGACTAGGAGATGCAAATTTTATATCATGCGGTATCTATGTATCTATGTGGATTTCATAACATAGACTCTGTGCATTTAGAGATTTCTTATGTATTACATTAGCAAAATTTGATTTATGGAAAGGGACATGAGTATTCTTTCTATTTTAAAGGATGAGTATCTTTCTCATCACAAGAAGCTGTGGTTCAATAGTCAAATAGAGCTGTGGTTCAATAGTCAAATAGGGTAAATTGAAGGAATGAATGATATGCCATCCACAAATATGCTAAGTTGGCATATTTATTAGTTTGAGCTGAAAACATTGAAGAAATTTTGGTTAACATTAGAGGAAGAGGTTATCTGACCTGTCTTTTTTGGCATGCAGCAAGCTCTAAAGATTCCTCCAGGAGTCTTTGGTACATTCTAATACTCTTTCGGTACCCTCCCTGTAATGGAATATAAAATAGCCCTTATCACTACAGCCTGGGAATTGGGGGAATGCAGTGTACCTGAATAAATAAACTACCAGAATTAACTCTTATTTTTCACTATCTTTACACCCCCATATACCTCCTAGGGACTCCCCTGGAATTTATGGTTTCGAGCCAGTGTCTCTTTTTTTTTCTTTGTAATTTTTTCTGCAATTTATCATTCTGTTTCTAAAAGTATAAAGACATCTTGCTTTGACCATTTATTTAGATTTCACACTCTTGTGAGGATTCCCATGTACATGTGAAATGCATAAAACTCATATGCTTTTCCTTCATTAATCCATCTTGTATCAATTTGTTTCCTATACCTGGGCAGAAAGCTCACATAGGAGATAAAGCGGGTGAGGTGGAGGTGATCCCTCATGTTTCCACAGAAGTAATAAGTAGCTTCCTTTTGTAAGATTTATGTCAACCACCACTACTAAATTTTTTTTACTTGCCTTTTAAATCTGGAAAAAAATAGACAATGACTTTTAAAGGCTAAATATCTTTTCAATTACTGAATAATTATTCAGTACTTACAGCATGGTAAGAAAATGCAAAGATATATACATGGATTCCACAAATTGGATGGAGGTCAATTTGACATTTGGGACTTAATCTCTGCTATTTTGTCTCATTACCACAAATTCAACATAAGATCCTTTTAATTTTGTCTGCTAAATATTTTAAAATACATTTATATTCCTAAATCCCTGGGATCACTGCCCTTACTTTTCATAGGGTTTTCTAGTTAAATTTAAACTGACATTAAAAATCTGATTGTATCAATCAAGGTCCTTAATTGAAAGTGAAATATAAAATGTCTTTTCTTTTTTTTTGATTTTTTGAGTACTGCTAGATTTAATTGCTAGTGACTACAAAATTAGTAACTTATTTCATGTGTTTAAAAATGCAAAACTGAATTTCTGCATAACAAGATAAGGAGGATAATCAGTGGATATTTAAAGCATGCCAACGTTTTCATCATGTTCAGGAGGAAGATAAGAATACGACTTGAAAATTGCTAGAAAAAGATCATCATTATGTATACATTAAGACTTTCTCAAAATTACAATTATGTATACAGTACAACTTCTATTTCTGACAGTATGTTGCACTAAATAACCTGAAATTTGCCATTCATTCATTCATTCAATATATATATATATATTTTTACTTTAAGTTTTAGGGTACATGTGCATAACGTGCAGGTTAGTTACATATGTATACATGTGCCATGTTGGTGTGCTGCACCCATTAACTCGTCATTTAACATTAGGTATATCTCCTAATGCTATCCCTCCCCCCTTCCCCCACCCCACAGCAGGCCCTGGTGTATGATGTTCCCCTTCCTGTGTCCATGTGTTCCCATTGTTCAATTCCCACCTATGAGTGAGAACATGCAGTGTTTGGTTTTTTGTCCTTGAGATAGTTTGCTGAGAACGATGGTTTCCAGCTTCATCCGTGTCCCTACAAAGGACATGAACTCATCTTTTTTTATGGCTGCATAGTATTCCATGGTGTATATGTGCCACATTTTCTTAATCCAGTCTATCATTGTTGGACATTTGGGTTGGTTCCAAGTCTTTGCTATTGTGAATAGTGCCACAATAAACATATGTGTGCATGTGTCTTTATAGCAGCATGTTTTATAATCCTTTGGGTATATACCCAGTAATGCGATGGCTGGGTCAAATGGTATTTCTACTTCTAGATCCCTGAGGAATTGCCACATTGACTTCCACAATGGTTGAACTAGTTTACAGTCCCATCAACAGTGTAAAAGTGTTCCTATTTCTCCACATCCTCTCCAGCACCTGTTGTTTCCTGACTTTTTAATGATCACCATTCTAACTGGTGTGAGATGGTATCTCATTGTAGTTTTGATTTGCATTTCTCTGATGGCCAGTGATGATGAGCATTTTTTTTCTTTTGGCTGCATAAATGTCTTCTTTTGAGAAGTGTCCGTTCATATTCTTCGCCTGCTTTTTGATGGGATTGTTTTTTTCTTGTGAATTTGTTTGAGTTCATTGTAGATTCTGTATATTATTAGCCCTTTTTCAGATGAGTAGATTGCAAAAATTTTCTCCCATTGTGTAGGTTGCCTGTTCACTCTGATGGTAGTTTCTTTTGCTGTGCAGAAGCTCTTTAGTTTAATTAGATCCCATTTGTCAATTTTGGCTTTTGTTGCCATTGCTTTTGGTGTTTTAGTCATGAAGTCCTTGCCCATGCCTATGTCCTGAATGGTAATGCCTAGGTTTTCTTCTAGGGTTTTTATGGTTTTAGGTCTAACATTTAAGTCTTTAATCCATCTTGAATTAATTTTTGTATAAGGTGTAAGGAAGGGATCCAGTTTCAGCTTTCTACATATGGCTAGCCAGTTTTCCCAGCACCATTTATTAAATAGGGAATCCTTTCCCCATTGCTTGTTTTTGTCAGGATTGTCAAAGATCAGAGAGTTGTAGATATGCGGCATTATTTCTGAGGGCTCTCTTCTGTTCCATTGGTCTATATCTCTGTTTTGGTACCAGTACCATGCTGTTTTGGTTACTGTAGCCTTGTAGTATAGTTTGAAGTCAGGTAGCGTGATGCCTCCAGCTTTGTTCTTTTGGCTTAGGATTGACTTGGCAATGTGGGCTCTCTTTTGGTTCCATATGAACTTTAAAGTAGTTTTTTCCAATTCTGTGAAGAAAGTCATTGGTAGCTTGATGGGGATGGCATTGAATCTATAAATTACCTTGGGCAGTATGGCCATTTTCATGATATTGATTCTTCCTACCCATGAGCATGGAATGTTCTTCCATTTCTTTGTATCCTCTTTCATTTCATTGAGCAGTGGTTTGTAGTTGTCCTTGAAGAGGTCCTTCACGTCCCTTCTAAGTTGGATTCCTAAGTATTTTATTCTCTTTGAAGCAATTGTGAATGGGAGTTCACTCATGATTTGGCTCTCTGTTTGTCTGTTATTCGTGTAGAAGAATGCTTGTGATTTTTGCACATTGATTTTGTATCTTGAGACTGTGCTGAAGTTGCCTATCAGCTTAAGGAGATTTTGGGCTGAGACAATGGCGTTTTCTAGATATACAATCATGTCATCTGCAAACAGGGACAATTTGACTTCCTCTTTTCCCAGTTGAATCCCCTTTATTTCCTTCTCCTGCCTGATTGCCCTGGCCAGAACTTCCAACACTATGTTGAATAGGAGTGGTGAGAGAGGGCATCCCTGTCTTGTGCCAGTTTTCAAAGAGAATGCTTCCAGTTTTTGCCCATTCAATATGATATTGGCTGTAAGTTTGTCATAGATAGCTCTTATTATTTTGAGATATGTCCCTTCAATACCTAATTTATTGAGAGTTTTTAGCATGAACGTTGTTGAATTTTGTCGAAGGCCTTTTCTGCATCTATTGAGATAATCATAGGTTTTTGTCATTGGTTCTGTTTATATGCTGGATTACATTTATTGATTTGCATATGTTGAACCAACCTTGCATCCCAGGGATGAAGCCCACTTGATCATGGTGGATAAGCTTTTTGATGTGCTGCTGGATTCGGTTTGCCAGTATTTTACTGAGGATTTTTGCGTCGATGTTCATCAGGGATATTGGTCTAAAATTCTCTTTTTTTGTTGTGTCTCTGCCTGGCTTTGGTATCAGGATGATGCTGGCTTCATAAAATGAGTTAAGGAGGATTCCCTCTTTTTCTATTGGTTGGAATAGTTTCAGAAAGAATGGTACGAGCTCCTCCTTATACCTCTGGTAAATTCGGCTGTGAATCCATCTGGTCCTGGACTTTTTTTGGTTGGTAAGATATTAATTATTGCCTCAATTTCAGAGCCTGTTATTGGTCTATTCAGAGATTCAATTTCTTCCTGGTTTAGCCTTAGGAGGGTGTATGTGTTGAGGAATTTATCCATTTCTTCTAGATTTTCTAGTTTATTTGCGTAGAGGTGTTTGTAGTATTCTCTGATGGTAGTTTGTATTTCTGTGGGATCGGTGGTGATATACCCTTTATCATTTTTTATTGTATCTATTTGATTCTTCTCTGTTTTCTTCTTTATTATCCTTGCTAGTGGTCTGTCAATTTTGTTGATCTTTTCAAAAAACCAGCTCCTGGATTCATTGATTTTTTGAAGGGTTTTTGTGCCTCTATTTCCTTCAGTTCTGCTCTGATCTTAGTTATTTCTTGCCTTCTGCTAGCTTTTGAATGTGTTTGCTCTTGCTTCTCTAGTTTTTTTAATGGTGATGTTAGGGTGTCAATTTTAGATCTTTCCTGCTTTCTCTTGTGGGCATTTAGTGCTATTAATTTCCCTCTACATACTGCTTTGAATGTGTCCCAGAGATTCTGGTATGTTGTGTCTTTGTTCTTGTTGGTTTCAAAGAACATCTTTATTCCTGCCTTCATTTCGTTATGTACCCAGTAGTCATTCAGGAGCAGGATGTTCAGTTTCCATGTAGTTGAGCAGTTTTGAGTGAGTTTTTTAACCCCAAGGTCTAGTTTGATTGCACTGTGGTCTGAGAGACAGTTTGTTATAATTTCTGTTCTTTTAGATTTGCTGAGGAGTGCTTTACTTCCAACTATGTGGTCAATTTTGGAATAGGTGTGTTGTGGTGCTGAAAAAAATGTGTATTCTGTTGATTTGGGGTGGAGAGTTCCGTAGATGTCTATTAGGTCCGCTTGGTGCAGAGCTGAGTTCAATTGCTGGATATCTTTGTTAACTTTCTGTCTCTTTGATCTTTCTAATGTTGACAGTGGGGTGTTAAAGTCTCCCATTATTATTGTGTGGGAGTCTAAGTCTCTTTGTAGGTCTCTACGGACTTGCTTTATGAATCTGGGTGCTCCTGTATTGGGTGCATATATATTTAGGATAGTTAGCTCTTCTCGTTGAATTGATCCCTTTACCATTATGTAATGGCCTTCTTTGTCTCTTTTGATCTTTGTTGGTTTAAAGTCTATTTTGTCAGAGACTAGGATTGCAACCCCTGCCTTTTTTTGTTTTCCATTTGCTTGGTAGATCTTCCTCCATCCTTTTATTTTGAGCCTATGTGTGTCTCTGCACGTGAGATGGTTTTCCTGAATACAGCACACTGATGGGTTTTGACTCTTTATCCAATGTGCCAGCCTGTGTCTTTTAATTGGAATATTTAGCCCATTTACTTTTAAGGTTAATATTGTTATGTGTGAATTTGATCCTGTCATTATGATGTTAGCTGGTTATTTTGCTCGTTAGTTGATGTAGTTTCTTCCTAGCCTCGATGGTCTTTACAATTTGGCATGATTTTGCAGTGGCTGGTACCGGTTGTTCCTTTCCATCTTTAGTGCTTCCTTCAGGAGCTCTTTTAGGTCAGGCCTGGTGGTGACAAAATCTCTCAGCATTTGCTTGTCTGTAAAGTATTTTATTTCTCCTTCACTTATGAAGCTTAGTTTGGCTGGATATGAAATTCTGGGTTGAAAATTCTTTTCTTTAAGAATGTTGAATATTGGCCCCCACTCTCTTCTGGCTTGTAGAGTTTCTGCTGAGAGATCTGCTGTTAGTCCGATGGGCTTCCCTTTATGGGTAACTAGACTTTTCTTTCTGGCTGCCCTTAACATTTTTTCCTTCATTTATACTTTGGTGAATCTGACATTTGCTTTTCTTGGAGTTGCTCTTCTCAAGAAGTATCTTTGTGGCGTTCTGTGTATTTCCTGAATTTGAATGTTGGCCTGCCTTGCTAGATTGGGAAAGTTCTCTTGGATAATATCCTGCAGAGTGTTTTGCAACTTGGTTCCATTCTCCTCGTCACTTTCAGGTACACCAATCAGATGTAGATTTGGTCTTTTCACATAGTCCCATATTTCTTGGAGGCTTTGTTCATTTCTTTTTATTCTTTTTTCTCTAAACTTCTCTTCTCACTTCATTTCATTCATTTGATATTCCATCACTGATACCCTTTCTTCCAGTTGATTGAAGTGGCAACTGAGGCTTGTGCATTCGTCACGTAGTTCTTGTGCCTTGGTTTTCAGCTCCATCAGGTCTTTTAAGGACTTCTCTGCATTGGTTATTCTAGTCAGCCATTCATCTAATTTTTTTCAAGGTTTTTAACTTCTTTGCAATGGGTTCGAACTTCCTCCTTTAGCTCAGAGTAGTTTGATCATCTGAAGCCTTCTTCTCTCAACTCGTCAGTCATTCTCCGTCCAGCTTTGTTCCATTGCTGGTGAGGAACTGCGTTCCTTTGGAGGAGGAGAGGCGCTCTGATTTTTAGAGTTTCCAGTTTTTCTGCTCTGTTTTTTCCCCATCTTTGTGGTTTTATCTACCTTTGGTCTTTGATGATGGTGACGTACAGATGGGGTTTTGGTGTGGATGTCCTTTCTGTTTGTTAGTTTTCCTTCTAACAGTCAGGACCCTCAGCTGCAGTTCTGTTGGAGTTTGCTGGAGGTCCACTCCAGACCCTGTTTACCTGGGTATCAGCAGCGGAGGCTGCAGAACAGCGGATATTGGTGAACAGCAAGTGTTGCCGCCTGATCGTTCCTCTGGAAGTTTTGTCTCAGAGGAGTACCAGGCCGTGTGAGGTGTCAGTCCACCCCTACTGGGGGGTGCCTCCCATTTAGGCTACTCAGGGGTCAGGGACCCACTTGAGGAGGCAGTCTGTCTGTTCTCAGATCTTCAGCTGCATGCTGGGAGAACCACTACTCTCTTCAAAGCTGTCAGACAGGGACCTTTAAGTCTGCAGAGGTTTCTGCTGCCTTTTGTTCAGGTATGCCCTGCCCCCAGAGGTGGAGTTTACAGAGGCAGGCAGGCCTCCTTGAGCTGCGGTGGGCTGCACCCAGTTCGAGCCTCCTGGCTGCTTTTTTTTACCTACTCAAGCCTCAGCAATGGCAGGCACCCCTCCCCCAGCCTCGCTGCCACCTTGCAGTTGGATCTCAGACTGCTGTGCTAGCAATGAGTGAGGCTCCGTTGGCGTAGGACCCTCTGAGCTAGGCGCGGGATTAATCTCCTGGTGTGCCATTTGCTAAGACCATTCGAAAGTGCAGTATTAGGGTGGGAGTGACCCGATTTTCCAGGTGCTGTCTGTCACCCCTTTCTTTGACTAGGAAAGGGATTTCCCTGACCCCTTGCACTTCTCAGGTGAGGCCATGCCTTGCCCTGCTTTGGCTCACGCTCAGTGTGCTGCACCCAGTGTCCTGTACCCACTGTCCGACAATCCTGTGTGAGATGAACCCGGTACCTCAGTTGGAAATGCAGAAATTACCCGTCTTCTGCGTCGCTCACGCTGGGAGCTGTAGACTAGAGCTGTTCCTATTCGGCCATCTTGGCTCCACCTCCAGAAAATTTATTTTCATTGAGATATAAAAGAAACATTTTTAAAAATCGGGTGGCTCATAAATTTTCAGAAACACAGAAGAATCAGGCTTGGTATACACACATTATGCACAATGCCCAATATGAGCCTGGAATAAATTCCACACATCACCAGGACACAGACAGATAAATGGGCATAATCTCCAGCCTAGAACTGTCAGGTCAAGTAACCTCAAGGAAGACCACATTGCATAGGTTTGAGGAAGTATTTGTAAGAAGATAGTATTGAGAACTGGGTCTTGGAAGGAATTGGGCATGTGGACTGTGGCTCATGAAATTGACTTGAGGCAGATAGATGAGAAAGGATGGGAATGTAATGATAAGTAATCTACAAGCCTGTTTGTAAGGCTTGTGATGGTAAAGTAAGGTGCCCTTTGGGAAGCAGGCTAATTGAACTGCCTAGATTCAAGGAAGGCAAAGACTCCGATGTCCGGTTCAGATGGACCATGGATAATATACAAGGAAATATCTCCTAGTAGAGTCAGGGATCATGGACAATATTGGGTCAGAAATTTGTCCCAAGATCAGGATCCACATCCAGAGAAAGAAGCCATGTCTGGACCTGAAGAGGAGGACTCCCTGTGTTTTTATTGGGAGGCAATGACTGGGTAGAACTTTGGGGTGTCTTTCCAGACGGTGTTTAAATAATTTCATGGATAAAATGCAGTTTACATTTTTGGATATTTGGTAGCTAGCAGAGCTCAGTATTACACACTTTGGCAAAGGCCAAAAAAAAAGCCTGATTCTCGTGTGTTTCTGAAAATGTATGAGCCACCCGATTTTTAACTTTTGACTCATTAAAAATTCAGAATCTTACTTGTAAAGATTAGAACAGTTACTGGAAGGGGGCCAATTTGGTCAGGGAGAACCTATTTTCGTTGCTGCTTCCAGTGTGATCATATGATCCCTCCCCTCCTCCATCTCAGATTTCCAGATTTTCAGAATGGAGTCCAATTTTTTGCTTTGGCCCAGAGGAGAAAGTCTAAGAAATATGTAAATATACTGAGTAAACTTAAAAATTTCACAGAAGTTGTGCCTTTACCAGAAGTAGTGGGTTATTTACCTTCAGTATCCTCTATGAATTCTATAATTGTAAACTGGTGAGACTAGAGTGCCAATTAGGTAATTGCAAAGATATTTCCCTGGTGCTAAATCTTAATTAGTGGAGACAGCTACCAGGGATCAGATGCTAACTACTGATTCAGTAGACTATTGAAAGTAAATTAATACAAGTATCTACCATTCACAGAAGAAAGTATTGACTCCAGGAGAAGGAGAAGGGCTGAATGTCAGGAAGCAGACACTGGCTGTGTGACACTGATTTAAACTGCAAGTAGAAATTCATCAGGGCTACTAATTTTATCACAAGTTAGAGTTAATGACCTGATTAAATATCTCATAAGTATTGAATGGTTTATCCCTATTTGCCCTATAAATTTCACCTTTTCAATGTGCAGTTTTACCAGCGTAAACTTTTTTGAAAATCTAACTATCACATTATAGCAGAAGTGTCTACTTTTACTATTATCAGCTAAAACATCTTTTTGGCCTCCTAATAAACTGCTTTGTTAGAAATATAGTTGCACTGTATCTTCCCAGGTAGTTTTAATTGACTTTCTACAAATCGCCAAATTTAATTGTTCCTAGATAGTTGCATGTTTTAAAGAAATCCAGGAAAAATACTCCTAAATATGACAAAAATATTTGATGCAATTCCTTGCTCATATTATTATTCTTGTAAATTATTTTTCTTTAATTTCTAAATAATACATGTATTTTCTTTTTTTAAGAATAAGACTCAAATTTCAATACACAATAAATTGAAGAAATAGATAAGTTTGGACTTGCAAATGTTCTAGTCAGATTATCACAGGGCAAACCGCAAAATTGAGGCTCAGCCCGGGATGCCATGTGGGTTCTTGCCTTCATGCAGGAAGGAATTCAAGAGCAAGCCAACAGAGTAAAGTGAAAGCAAGTTTATTGAAAAGTCAAGGAATAAAAAGGTGCCTACTCATAGGCAGAGTAGCAGCATGAGCTTACCACATACTTGGGGTTGTTATTTCTTGATTATATGCTAAACAAGGAGTGAATTCTTCATGTTTTCTGGGAAAGGTGAGGGGAGTTCCAGGAACGGAGGGGTCCTCACCTTTTCAGACCATATAGGGTAACTTCTGGACTTTGCCATGGCATTTGTAAACTGTCATGGTGCTGGTGGGAGTTTCCTTTGGTATGTTAATGTATTCTAATTATAATGAGCAGTGAGGACCACCAGAGGTGGCTTTCATTGCCATGATGGTTTTGGTAGGTTTCAGTCAGCTTATTTACCACATCCTGTTTTATCAGTGGAGTCTTTGTTCCTTGTATCTTTTGAAACAAGTCCGGCTGAATTCCTATCTCAGGAATATTCAAGGGCATTTTGAAAAACATACATGCTTGGGTTGAAACTCCAGATTTCAGATTTTTAGTATAATCGAGATATGCCTTTTTCTTATGTCTATGTTTTAGTTAATTTTGGCATAGTTATAAGTAATTAATATATGACAATAACATAAGCATAAAATTAGAAAAACATTTAGAATTTAGGCTGATTTTCTTTCCAATCTGCATTCCTCATATATGTCCTCTGTCCTCTCTCTAGTACAAAAAGGGTTTCCAGTTCATTGTGTATCATTCCATAGGTAGACACATATATGACCATATATTATTTTTATTAATTACTATTCTGCATCTTACTTTTATTAATGTTGTTATGGTAAAATTTAAAACACATACACACACATAGCCATAGGCAAGATAACCACAAGGAAACAAGGTATGATAAATTGAACACCTGTGTGACCACTTGCCAGTTCAGGATATAGACCAATGTCAGCACGCTCAGAAGCCCTTTGCATTCCCATTTCCAAACAAAAAGTCCTCCTTCCACCTGAATGTAATTACTATCTTATCTTGTAGTAATACTCTTCATACTTTATTTATAAGTTCTAAAGAAATGTGTAAACAGTGTACATTAATTTTAAACCACTTATTCTACTGAGTTTGGCCTCCAGTGAGTTTTGTGTTTATGACACATTCCTGTCTCTCATTTTTATTGACATATAATATTTCATTGTGTCATCTTACTGCAGTGTGTTTAGCCATATCAGGATTGATGGGCACCTATTTGGATTCTATCACATCTGATGCTGTAATGGAGATGGCTATAGAAATCTACTGGTCTTCCTGTGCAAAGCTCTAATTGATTATATACCCAGGAACTGCTGCGTTATAGCACAAGTAAATTCCAAATTTACTAGAAAATAACACATGACTTCCAAAGAGTATGAAATTTGCACTCTATTGGAAGACTTTGGAAGTCATAATGATCAAATTTATCATCCACACAATTTTTCTGTGTATTTCTTTTATTATTTTTAAAGTTTCACAATTCTGGTATATATAGTGCATGGTGGTGTTACTTTACATTTCTCTGGTTTTTAGAATAATATTTAATACTCTATTTTATATTAACATAGCATAGTTCATTAATTCATTCTACTTTGGGACATTTTCAGTTTCTGACTATTTTGAGTAATGCTGCTATGAATTTTCTTCTACACATCTATGATACGTGTTCTTAAACTTTTATCTTTTTTATAAGTTTACACACATATGTGTATATATGTGTATATGTATTGCTGTACACATACATAAGCATGCATGTTATATATTAGCATATATGTAATATATAATATATTGAAGTATATATAGAAATTACATATATTTTTATATAATATTCATAAATACACATGAGTAATATGTTTATAGATACGTGTATATAAAATATACTTGTCTTTAAAAGATATATAACTATGAGTATATATAATTCATATATACTTAAGTGTATATAAATATACATTTACATATATTTCTATTACTATATGTAAGTATATTTAAGTATTATATATGTATATGTACATATACTTACATATAATTTAAGTTATCTCATGTATGTTTGCATATATAATCTGTCTATACATTAGGTAATTCTTCCAAAAAGTTATAAAAATTTGCATCCCAGTAACAGTATGCGAGAATGTGTTTGCCATTTTGTACCAGAAAGCACTTTGTGCTCTAAACATGTAGATAGTTGCCAAACATGTAAGTGAATATTTATTTCTGAATGCCATGTCATTTTACTTTCTCTTAAGGGAAGTCAACATTATTACATGAACATTTCAGATGTCATCTCCTTTGATATTTTGGTTTCAGCCATGAAAACAGGAAATCAAAGTTTTGGGACAGATTTTCTACTTGTTGGTCTTTTCCAATATGGCTGGATAAACTCTCTTCTCTTTGTCGTCATTGCCACCCTCTTTACAGTTGCTCTGACAGGAAATATCATGCTGATCCACCTCATTCGACTGAACACCAGACTCCACACTCCAATGTACTTTCTGCTCAGTCAGCTCTCCATCGTTGACCTCATGTACATCTCCACCACAGTGCCCAAGATGGCAGTCAGCTTCCTCTCACAGAGTAAGACCATTAGATTTTTGGGCTGTGAGATTCAAACGTATGTGTTCTTGGCCCTTGGTGGAACTGAAGCCCTTCTCCTTGGTTTTATGTCTTATGATCGCTATGTAGCTATCTGTCACCCTTTACATTATCCTATGCTTATGAGCAAGAAGATCTGCTGCCTCATGGTTGCATGTGCATGGGCCAGTGGTTCTATCAATGCTTTCATACATACATTGTATGTGTTTCAGCTTCCATTCTGTAGGTCTCGGCTCATTAACCACTTTTTCTGTGAAGTTCCAGCTCTACTATCATTGGTGTGTCAGGACACCTCCCAGTATGAGTATACAGTCCTCCTGAGTGGACTTATTATCTTGCTACTACCATTCCTAGCCATTCTGGCTTCCTATGCTCGTGTGCTTATTGTGGTATTCCAGATGAGCTCAGGAAAAGGACAGGCAAAAGCTGTTTCCACTTGTTCCTCCCACCTGATTGTGGCAAGCCTGTTCTATGCAACCACTCTCTTTACCTACACAAGGCCACACTCCTTGCGTTCCCCTTCACGGGATAAGGCGGTGGCAGTATTTTACACCATTGTCACACCTCTACTGAACCCATTTATCTACAGCCTGAGAAATAAGGAAGTGACGGGGGCAGTGAGGAGACTGTTGGGATATTGGATATGCTGTAGAAAATATGACTTCAGATCTCTGTATTGATTGAGCATTAACAACATAAAAAGCTGTTCCTGAAAACTATCTGGAAAGATATAAATATGTGTTTTCTGTATAGAAGTCACAAAAACAGTGTTTATCAATCTTGTTTAACTTGTAAAGCAATAGAATTCAGGCTTCTTAAATCTGTGTTCCCCTGGCATTTTAATGCTTTTACTTGCCCTCTTGAATACTCTGAAATGTGAACCATAAAAATAAAATCTACTTAAACATTTAACCTCAAGATAATCTATATAACAACCAAAGTTAACAGAGAGAAAAATGCATAATTCATTTATTCCTTCTTTCACTCAGGTGTTTTAATGCTTTAATTTGTGTGTGACACTGTTACAGACACTGGTCATGTGAGAGTAAACAAAAATGAAAGCTGACAGAAATCTCTGCTGATCGGCAAACTTAATTTCTGTTCCTGTTTTCCTTTCGTGGTTTTCATGCTTGATTAATAATGTTTCTTTAAGAAAATCCAGTGATTGAAATTTATTAATATTGAATAATGTATTAACAGGAAAGAAATTGCTGTTTTCTTATCTTGAGGAAGAGAAGAGTCAAAGCTTACAGCATCTGAAGGGAAAATCATGACAGGTGGCAGTAGAAAAGAGAGTAGGGTGAAACAAAGACAGGAGTATCTATTGATGTGACTCTTTTCCTTCTGCACCGTAACACCTTTTGTGCATGCAAACACACCACACACCACACACACACACACACACACGAGGTGCACACCCGGGGCCACCCAGGCACTTCTGACAAGTTCCTTTAAGGGGGATTACACAACTGCTTTTCCCTCTGCCTCTATTTTCAGAAAATATTCTCTTAAGACACAATGCACATCATCCATTCATTTCTTTCTTTCTTTCTTTTTTTGTTTGTTTGTTTGTTTTTTTGTTTTTTTGAGATAGAGTCTTGTTCTCTCGCCCAGGCTGGAGTGCAGTGGCTTGAGCTTGGCTCACTGCAACCTCTGCCCCTCGGGTTCAAGCGATTCTCCTGCCTCAGGCTCCCAAATAGTTGAGATTACAGGCACCCGCCACCACACCCGGCTAATTTTTGTATTTTTAGTAGAGACTGGTTTTCACCATGTTGCTCAGGCTGGTTTCGAACTCCTGATCTCAAGTGATCCTTCTGCCTTGGCCTCCCAAAGTGCTGGGATTACAGGCATGAGCCACTGCGCCCAGCCTCAGTCATTTATTAATACAAAATTAATATATCAAATTATTGTTATTGATACTATTGATGTTTTTTAGTATCAATATTCCATTATTAAACATTTGATTATTTTTTATTTAATCAATTTGTCCAGAAATACCAGCTTTTGATTTCTATTTTTTCTTTTTCCTCCCCCCTTACTTCATTGACCTCCTATAATTACCTACCTATTTAAATATGAATCTCAAACAGCTCTTTATATATTATTTTTGAGAATCCTAGTATTATTAAAAAATAATTTCACAATGTCTTTTACTTCCTAACCAGTTGTAAGTTCTCCTCCTCTTCCTCCTTCTCCTCCTCCTCCTTCTCCTCCTCGTCCTTCCTTCCTCCTCCTTCCTCGTCCTCTTCCTCTTCTTCTTCTTCCTTCTTTCTTCTTTCTTTCTTCTTTTTCTCCTTCTCCTCATCCTCCTCCTCTCGTTCTCCTTCTTCTTCCTTTTAAATCTCTTCTCATTACTGTGTATCATATCAGAAATCAAGACTTTCTGTTACAGAAAGTAGAAAGGAGAAAGAGGAACAAACGTTTGTGTGTAAAAAGCATATATGTGGTGCTTTTTATTCATCGCATAAAGTAAACCATGAATAATCATAATAACCATAAATAATAATAAACTTTATAATATAAAAGGAGAATATGACTCCACTTTTATAGATAATTAAACTGAATGTCAGAGAGTTTATGTAACTTACCCTAAATCATAAAACTAAGAAGTTTTAAGATTAGAAGAGTTCAATGGAACCATCCTGCTTTTGGAAGAATACCTTTTGGGACAAGACATTTTTATTTATTTATTTTTTTTAGTATACTTTAAGTTCTAGGGTACATGTGCACACTGTGCAGGTTTGTTACATAGGTATACATATGCCATGTTGGTTTGCTGCACCCATCAACTTGTCATTTACATTAGATATTTCTCCTAGTGCTATCCTTCCCCCAGCCCCCCACCCCCCAACAGGCCCAGGTGAGTGATGTTCCCCACCCTGTATCCAAGTGTTCTCATTGTTCAATTCCCACCTATGACTGAGAACATATGGTGTTTGGTTTTCTGTCCTTGTGATAGTTTGCTGAGAATGATGGTTTCCAGCTCCATCCATGTCCCTGCAAAGGACATGAACGCATCCTTTTTTATGGCTGCATAGTATTCCATGGTGTATATGTGCCACATTTTCTTAATCCAGTCTATCATTGATGGACATTTGGGTTGGTTCCAAGTCTTTGCTATTGTGAATGGTGCTGCAATAAACATACGTGTGCATGTGTCTTTATAGCAGCATGATTTATAATCCTTTGGGTATATACCCAGTAATGGGATGGCTGGGTCAGATGGTATTTCTAGTTCTAGATCCGTGAGGAATCGCCACACTGTCTTCCGCAATGGTTGAACTAATTTACACTTCCATCAACAGTGTAAAAGTGTTCCTATTTCTCCACATCCTCTCCAACATCTGTTGTTTCCTGACTTTTTAATGATCACCATTCTAACTGGCGTGAGATGGTATCTCATTGTAGTTTTGATTTGCATTCCTCTGATGACCAGTGATGATGAGCATTTTTTCATGTGTCTGTTTCCTGCATAAATGTCTTCTTTTGAGAAGTGTCTGCTCATATCCTTTGCCCATTTTTTGATGGGGTTGTTTGTTTTTTTCTTGTAAATTTGTTTAAGTTCTTCATAGATTCTGGGTATTAGCCCTTTGTCAGATGGGTAGATTGCAAAATTTTCTCCCATTCTGTAGGTTGCCTGTTCACTCTGATGGTAGTTTCTTTTGCTGTGCAAAAGCTCTTTAGTTTAATTAGATCCCATTTGTCAATTTTGGCTTTTGTTGCCATTGCTTTTGGTGTTTTAGTCATGAAGTCTTCATGGGACAAGGCATTTTTATAACACACGTTCCCCTATGTTATTACTAGCTCTTTCTTGACACATTGGTTATTAACAAAGTGTAGGCTAGCAGGATTGGATGCTTTCCCAAGAAGGAGATAATTACTTTACAAATGCTATCTCATTTAACAATAGTTTAAAGCAGACCTCACTTTCAAATTAGTCATATCCTGATGTTAGCAGTATATTAGCAAAACAGGCCATTTTCTGCCAGGATTAAATATCTCCAGATTTGAAAATAATCTGCATGAAATGTAGAAAGTATTTGGTAATCTTTTTTCTCCTAAATGTGATCCAGTTGGCATTTTCAGAGCCTGAAGCTAAGGGCTTTATTCAGATGCCTTGCATTTTGTACCAGCAGCAAAAGCACCGATGAGATCTACATGGTGATCCAGGGGGCCAGAGCCATGGAATACTAGGAACCTTCTACATGATGGCTGCTCCTGATGCAGATTATTGCTAAGACTCTGAGACTGAGTGCATACAACATGGGTTGGTGTTCTCTGAAGCTTTTGGGTTAATTCCGCCAGGTTTTTCACTTCCCGGCCAACTCCTATGCAGAACTATACTTCAGTCAGTTACTGAATGCTTATGTTTTGGTCATGTACTACAGCATTGTAATAACCTGCCAGAATTAAGAAAACCTGTGTTGCCAGGGAGGATGTTTTATTTTTTTATTTCCAAAATTATTTCCATAATTTTGAGGATTTCCTCAAAATTAATAGCATTTTGTAAACAAAGAATCTGGATCTCCCCTAATAATTTAATAACTATTCCATTTTATAGTCTCTCATATACATTTTATAAAATTTGTAAAACATGACATTTGCCTGTCAATTAACATGTATACGTATGTAACTAACCTGTACATTGTGCACATGTACCCTAAAACTTAAAGTATAATAATAATTAAAAACAAACAAACAAAAAACATGGTCTCTGAGATCACCTTCGCTTTCATATTGTATTCCATGGCAACAATGTAATAGTTTTGTAATAGTTTTTCTTGTTATGCATCATGAAGAATCTTGGGGAAAAACCCACAACTTGTGTGTATATAGGATTTTTCCCCCTTTCTTTTGGGTTACTTCTTAGAATGCAACTTGGATCATATTCAATAGTACCAAGGGACAAGACTAACTCTACAGTTTTCATCCTATATTGTCAACCCGATTTTATAAAGATTTTTTATTTTTACTCTAAAATTAATCTTCACTATATTCCAACTGGCAAAGCATATTATAAAGAAACACATAAATTTCTAGGTGAGTCACTAGGAGATATACAAAGGGATGTAAAACTTGTAGAAGAGTTACTCACGTAACTTTATTTATTCAGATCCATTGCAGCCCCAGATCCCAGGCTCTGGTGTAAGAGCTATTTTATCAACGTGGTACATGGAGCTATTTTATCACTGAGGAATCTTTATGGCTTCATGCATGCAGGAGGAGACAGGTCAGCTGGCCCTTTCTGAAAGAACCATTCTTCCTATGTATTTAACTCAAAGTAATCAATATTCCAATTTGTTGTTTGGGAGATGGCATGTCCTTCACTCCTTTACTGATAAATGACTATATAGATACGGTAATTTTCAGGCAAGAAATTTGGCAGCTTTAAAGAGACTGTTGATTTTACCAAGTAAACAAATATAAACATATATTTATTTCTATATCAACTTATTTATAAATATATACTCATGTGATCTCCAAAGATAAAAAAATTAAATCCAAAAATTAACTGTGATACAATAGTTTCACATACCTGGAGACTGTTTTTTTACTTTGCTTTTTTTTAGTCTGAATCTTTTCTTTTCTTCAAATAAGGAGCAGAAGAACGTAGAGCAGACACTATTAGGGAGCACCAGCCATCGAGATCCAGGTTGGCAGGTCCTTGCAGTACTTTGGAAGTAGTGGCACCTAGGGATTGTGGAAGAAAGGTTGGTTGAGGCATTTATCCTGAGCCTGCAGGTTGTGCTCTCGGCTATCTAACAGAACTCAGCCAATTTGTTATAGTTTAAACCTGTTTTATTCCCATAAACATTGACATAATTTGATGATAGGGTCATGTCATCAATATTCTGCTTCCATATTCTCTTTCAGACACATTAAGTGAATTGGTTTAACCCTCATCTAGATAAAGTAAAGTGAGTATAACTTCTTGTATAAGGTGTAAGAAAGGGGTCCAGTTTCAGTTTTCTGCATATGGCTAGACTTAAACTTCCACGCTATAATAGTGGGAGACTTTAACACCCCACTGTCAATATTACACAGATCAATGAGACTGAAAATTTACAAGGATATTCAGGACTGGAACTCAGCTCTGGACCAAGCGGACCGAATAGACATCTACAGAACTCTCCACCCCAAATCAATGGAATGTACATTCTTTTCAGCAACACATAACCCTTATTCTAAAATTGACCACATAATTGGAAGTCAAACACTCCTCAGCAAATGCAAAAGGGCAGAAGTAATAGCAAACAGTCTCTGAGACCACAGTGCAATCAAATTAGAACTCAGGGTTAAGGGACTCACTCAAAACTGTACAACTACATGGAAACTGAACAACCTGCTCCTGAATGAATACTGGGTAAATAACGAAATTAAGGCTTAAATAAATAAGTTGTTTGAAACCAGTGAGAACAAAGACATAACATACCAGAAGATCTGGGACACAGCTAAAGCGGTGTTTAGAGGAAAACTGATAGCACTAAATGCCCACATTAGAAAAGGGGAAAAATCTAAAATTGACACACTAACATCACAATTAAAAGAAATAGAGAAGCAAGAGCAAACAAATTCAAATGACTGCAGAAGACAAGAAATAACCAAGATCAGAGTTTAACTGAAAGAGATGGAGACATGAAAAACCCTTCAAAAAAATCAGTGAATCCAGGAGCTGGTTTTTTGAAAAGATTAACAAAATAGACAACTAGCGACAAATAAAGAAGAAAAGAGAGAAGAATCAAATAGACACAATAAAAAATGATAAAGGGGATATCACCACTGATCCCACAGAAATACAAACTCGCATCAGAGAATACTATAAACATCTCTATGCAAATAAACTAGAAAACCCGGAAGAAATGGATAAATTCCTGGACACATACACTCTCTCAAGACTAAACCAGGAAGAAGTCGAATCCCTAAATAGACCAATAACAAGTTCTGAAATTGAGGCAGTAATTAATAGCCTACAAAAACAAAACAAAACAAAAAAAACCCAGGACCAGACAGATTCACAGCCAAATTCAACCAGAGGTACAAAGAAGAGTTGGTACCATTCATTCTGAAACTATTCCAAACAATAGAAAAAGAGGAACTCCTCCTTAACTCATTTTATGAGGCAAGCATCATCCTGATTCCAAAACTTGGCAGAGACACAACAAAAAAACAAAATTTCAAGCCAATATCCCCAATGAACATTGATGTGAAAATCCTCAATAAAATACTGGAAAGCTGAATCCAGCAGTACATCAAAAAGCTTATCCACCACGGTCAAGTTGGCTTCATCCCTGGTATGCATGGTTGATTCAACATATGCAAATAAATAAATGCAATCCATCAAATAAACAGAACCAATGACAAAAACCACATGATTATCTTGATAGATGCAGGAAAGGCTTTCAATAAAATTCAACACCCCTTCATGCTAAAAACACTCAATAAATTAGGTATTGATGAAATATGTCTCAAATTAATAAAAGCTATTTATGACAAACACATACCCAATGTCACACTGAATGGGCAAAATCTGGAGGCATCCCATTTGAAAACCATAACAAGACAAAAAATGCCCTCTCTCACCACTCCTGGGCAACATAGTATTGGAAGTTCTGGCCAGGGCAATTAGGCAAGAGAAAGAAATAAAGGATATTCAAATAGGAAGGGAGGAAGTCCAATTGCCTCTGTTTGCAGATGACATAATTGTATACTTAGAAATCCCCATCATCTCCACCCAAAAACTCCTTAAGCTGATAAGCAACTTCAGCAAAGCCTCAGGATACAAAATCAATGTGCAAAAATCACTAGCATTCTTATACATCAATAATAGACAGACAGAGAGCCAAATCATGAGTGAACTCCCATTCACAATTGCTACAAAGAAAATAAAATACCTAGGAATACAACTTACAAGCAATGTGCAGGGCCTGTTAAAGGAGAACTACAAAAAGTGGGCGAAGGATATGAACAGACACTTCCCAAAAGAAGATATTTATGTGGCCAACAAACATTTGAAAAAAAGCTCATTATCACTAGTCATTAGAGAAATGCAAATCAAAACCACAATAAGATATCTTCTCATGCCAGTTAGAATGGTGATCATTAAAATGTCGGGAAACAACAGATGCTGGTGAGCAAGTGGAGAAATAGGAAAGCTTTTACACTACTAATGGGAGTGTAAATTAGTTCAACCATTGTGGGAGACAGTGTGGCGATTGCTCAAGGATTTAGAACCAGAAATACCATTTGCTCTAGCAATCCCATTCCTGGGTATATACCTAAAGGATTATAAATCGCTCTAGTATAAAGACACAGACACACGTATGTTTATAGCAGCACTATTTACAATAGCTAAGGCTGGGAACCAACCCAAATGCCCATCAATGATAGACTGGATAAAGTAAATGTGGCACATAGACATCATGGAATACTCTGCAGCCATGAAAAAGAACGAGTTCATATCCTTTGCAGGGACATGGATGAAGCTGGAAACCATCATTCTCTAGCCAACTAACACAGGAATAGAAAACTAAACATCTCACTCATAAGCGAGAGTTGAACAGTGAGAACACGTGGACACATGGAGGGGAACATCACACACCAGAACCTTTGTGGGGGGGCCAAGAGGAGGGATAGCATTAGGACAAATACCTAATGCATGCGGGGCTTAAAACCTAGGTGATGGATTGATGGATGCAACAAACCACCATGGTACATGTATACCTACATAACCTGCACATTCAGCACGTGTATCCCAGAACTTAAAGTATATTAAAAAAAAAAGTTATTTTGACAGAGAGAAAAAAGAGACCACATTTACATAATGTTTACTACGGTGTATTTTTATAATTGTTCTATTTTATTTTTATTTTTGTTAATCTCTTACTTGCCTAACTTATAAACTGAATGTTATCATAAGTATATATGGATCCAAAGAAATAGTGGAAATAGTGTATATGAGACTCAATATTATCCTCAGTTTCAGGCATTCCCTGGAGGTCTTGGAATGCATCCCCTGTGGATAAGGAGGAACTAATTCACTTATCTTTCTGCCGCCCTGCAGGAAGGATTGTAGGAATGCCCCATGGAAAAATACAATCAAACATCAACTGATTTCATCTTATTGGGGATCTTCCCACCATCCAGAATTGGCTTTCTCCTCTTCATTCTCCTTGTTCTCATTTTGCTATTGGCTTTAATTGGCAATCAGTCCGTGATCCTTCTCATCTTCTTGGACACTCATCTCCACACGCCCATTTATTTCTTACTTAGTCGGCTCTACCTCATTGACCTAAATTACATCTCCACTATTGTCCCCAGATGTTTTCTGATTTTCTGTTTGGAAACAAGTCTATTTCCTTCATTGGGTGTGGAATTCAGAGTTTCTTCTTTGTGACTTTAGCAGGTGCAGAAATGCTGCCACTGACATCAATGGCCTGTGATCATTATGTAGCTGTTTGCTTTCCTCTCCACTATCCCATCCATATGAGCAAGATAGTATGTGCTGATGATAATAGGATCTTGGATAATGGGCTCTATCGACACTTGTGCTCACATTTCATATATGCCCCATATCCCTGTTGCTCAGCCAGGGCTGTGATGTCCCAGCCATGGTGACTCTGGCCTTCGTGGACACCTGGGTCTATGAGTGCACAGTGTTTTTGAGCACAACCCTCTTTCTCATGTTTACCTTTATTGGTATTGCATGTTCCTATGGTGAGGTTCTCCTTACTGTCTACCACATTAAATCTGCAGAAGGGAGGAAGAAGGCCTATTCGACCTGTAGCACCCACCTCACTGTAGTAATTTTCTACTATGCAATGTTTGCTTATACCTATCTATATCCAAGATACCTGCAATCTCCAACAGAGGACAAGGTTCTGGCTGTGTTCTACACCATCCTCACCTCAATGCTCAACCCCATCATCTACAGCCTGAGAAACAGGGAGGTGATGGGGGCCCTGACACGAGTGAGTCAGAGAATCTTCCCTGTGAAGATGAAGACAAACTTTCTGCCTTAGAGTCCAAGCACTAGCCTCACATCAACTTAGCAGTGTACAGCAGTTACGAAAAATAATATTCCATGCCAGGAGCGTGGAACAAAAATTACTCTAGAAAATTTTTTAAAATTGAGTCTTGACATTATAATTGCATATTCTAAGACATCTATGTTGTTTTGTTTTTGCTGTTTCTTTTTATCAAAATATAGATCATTTATTTTCCACTAAATTGTGGGCAGTAGGGTTTCATTAAAATTAAAATAATAAATGTTCAAACTAATCATAGCATTCAGCATAATAGTTATATGTCATTCATTTCTCATTATTATTAAGACAAAAATAATAAATTATTTAAGATTACTGAATCTAATTGAATATAAGATAGTATTGTATTTTCTCTCAACCGGTGGGTATAGCTTATTCTTTTTCCTAAAGTAATGATTTATTAATAAATTTACCTCAGGATAAATAATTATTTTTGGGGATAAGCCAATTTGTCTTTAGAAAAACAAGAGTTTCTTTACAAGAGATTCTATAGGAGTTACAGTCTACTGAGTGTGGAGTAGATTATTTGAACCATTCCCCAGTCACATCACAACACACTCAATTTCTGCCCCCTTGGTTGCCACCGGTATTCTCATACAAGACATTCTGCCTGGACAATTTTATTTCTACTTATTTTTCTCATAAATCAACACATCTATACAGCTTGGGTTGGGGTCAAATCCTCTGCTCCACTATTTTTATACCTGCTTAGGCATGTGCCTAAAAGCATCAACATTATTTCCATAAAACTTATACTGTATTATATATTGAAAATTTGCTAAGAGAATGGGTTTTAAGTCCTCTTACTATAAAGATTGTAACTATGGAAAGTGCTGTATAATTTGAGTGTAGTAATCATTTCAACATGTAGTTGGATGTCAAACATCATGTTGTACAGTTTTAATAACATAAAATATGTGGCACATCTTTAATGAAATCAATAATCAATCAATCTAGACTGGCTTGAAAAGTTCCTAGAACTATCTAATTAAAATATATTTTGATGATGTCATTTTCTTTAGTAGGGTATGTGATTCTCTCCACTGGCTAATTCACTCCTACACTGGCAGGATCACACTGTACCTGGAACTTTATGTTCTCTTCATCTTAAGTTGAATGCAGTTTTCTGAACAAGTTTTGAAAAGGCAGTCCTTCATTACATTAAGGATACAATTGGTTTTACCTTTAATGCATTGTTCTCTATCCTCACAAGTTTCTTTCACTGCGTGAATCCTCATTTCTCCCTTTTCTCAGGGTACACATCAGGTATCATCTACATGAGGAAGCATGTTGAATGTGCTTGTTCAACTTTATCTTTATATTCTACTCTCATACATCCTACTATTTCTAATAATAACATGTGTCATCACAATGTATTGTAATAATCTCTTTTCTCTATGGCTCCACAGACTATTATCTGTTACCATCAGTGGCTTGGTCTTTTCCTCTTCACATGCCCAGATGATGCTCTTAAGTACCTGTTCTATGTTCAAATTATTCATACCTCAAAGCATGTTTATGTATTCTTAGCCCATTGCATTTTCACATAATAATTAGAATCAACCAGCAAAATGTCTATAGGAAAAAAGTTTTGTGTCTCAGTGTGAATTCTTACCATCTAGAGCATGATTTGTGGGAAAATGAAATCTTTTCTATATTAAATCTCTTGATTCATTAATGAAACATATTTTACTACATATATATCTACTTATGAAGAGCAGAATCCCATCCATATCTAGGCAATAGTCATGGGAATGATTCCTGTAGATACTTTTTTTTAGACACCGTCTTACTGTGTTGCCAAGGCTGGTCTCAAACACCTCAGTGCAAGTCATGCTAAAACTATTCTCATAAAGTGAAGAAAACTAAATTGCTGGGTTTTTAGCCAAAAGCATAAACTTTTAGTAGAAGCATACACTAAGCATGAACCAGCTCGCCCGATAGCCTACTTCCGTATGACTGCTTACTGCTTAAAAGTCAGGTAGCCCTTCTCACAGGGTCCTAACTACCGTTAATTGTTTCTTTAGATATCATCTTTAATTTTAGGAAACCTCAAGTTTTCTATTTAAAATGTTTTCCGGATCCTGAATTCTAGTGGATCCACTGACGCAGGGGGTCTGTGGAGCTTGTCTGAGAAACTGACTCAGTGCAGGATGCAGCATCTTCATCTCGCTGTCTAGTGACTCCATCACTCACTTCTCGACCAATCAGCAGTCCCCACACTTCAGCTCATCACCCGTCCAGACTCCTTAAAAACGTCATCTCCAAGTCTCTCCAGAAGGCTGATATGAGGCTTCCTTTCTTTTCTTTCTTCAGAGCGATGAAGCCAGCTGGACTTCCTGGGTCGGGTGGGGACTTAGGAAAATTTTGTGTCTTACAAGAGGATTATAAATGTACCAATCAGCACTCTGTAAAAATGCACCAATCTTGCTGCTGCTCAGTCTTCGGGTCCGCACCACCTTTAAGAGCTGTAGCAATCACCGCGAGGGTCCCAAGTCAGTGAGACCACGAACCCACCGGAAGGAACAAACTCCAGACATACTTCAGCTGACATATGATTATTAAACTCCTTCTCTGCTGCAACTCCCACTGTTTTGATGTTTTGGTCTGCTACCACTCAATGGGTAATTGAACCCGTGGGCGTGTAACAATCCTCCTCCCTTGGTCTCCCCATAGGTGGAATTACAGGCCTGTGCCACCGTGCCCTGCTCTTTAACAAAAGATTTGGCATAATGGTTATCACTTGAATCTTGGATCTTTGGGACATTTGTATTTGGGCTTCTTTTTAAGTAAATGTCATTATGCATTTCATGTGCCTGCAAAGGACATGAAGCAACTATGTTGTTTAATGAATAATTCAAATGGACTGAACACAGACATTAAAAAATTTAAAATAAACAGGTCACTTTTATTTACATTCCTTGCTCTCATTTCTTCCTTCAGTATAAACCAAGTTGTGGCTACTCTATGCTTAGTGGTTTCTACTGAGGAAGTGTGAAATGTTCAATTCCCACTTCCAGAGCATTCTCAGGGAAAGCAGGGGTCTTTCAGGATCCCCTCCTCCTCTGGGCTTCCTTGTGTTGCGTAGGAGCTCTAAGGGACTGCCACAGTGCTTCTCTGACACAGGCCACTCGGACCTGTCTACTCTCCTGGGCACCCTGCCACAGTCTTGGTGGTCCCCTGAAGATGATTCTGTCCTGAGATCCAGACTGCAGGCTTCCTTTGTTTCATATGCCCAAGTCCATGTTAGTTTCTGTCTCATGTCCCCCACATGTGTTTACAGGATCCCAGTGGGTAGTCTTGAGTCATGACCTATAAAGTCTTTCTTTCATACAGAAATCCTCTCAAATCACCTTTTCCCACATCAAATAAGGATTCTTCCTTCCTTATTCAGCACAAATGTGTTTTGTCTACTAAAGAAGATATAAAAACAGTGTACAATGTGCACTAAATGTGGCATCTTCTTTTATATTATTATACTTTAAGTTCTAGGGTACATGTGCATAACGTGCAGGTTTGTTACACATGTATACATGTGCCATGTGGTTTGCTGCACCCATCAACTTGTCATTTACATTAGGTATTTCTCCTAATGCTATCCCTCCCTCAGGCCACCACCCCCCAAAAGGCCCCAGTGTGTGATGTTCCCCTCCCTGTGTTCATGTGTTCTCATTGTTCAACTCCCAGTTATGAGTGAGAATATGTGGTGTTTGGTTTTCTGTCCTTGTGATATTTTGCTGAGAATGATGGTTTCCAGCTTCGTCCATGTCCCTGCAAAGGACATGAACTCATCCTTTTTTATAGCTGTATAGTATTTCATGGTGTATATGTGCCACATTTTTTTTATCCAGTCTATTATTGATGGACATTTGGGTTGGTTCAAAGTCTTTGCTATTGTGAATAGTGCTGCAAGAAACATATGTATGCATGTGTCTTCAGCTTGACCTCCGTGGGCTGCACCCACTGTCCAGCCTGTCCCAATGAGATGAACCAGGTACCTCAGTTGGAAATCCAGAAATCACTTGTCTTCTCTGTTGGTCCCGCTGGGAGATGTAGACTGGCTGTGTTCATATTTGGCCATCTTGGAAACGACTCCTAGATGTGGCATCTACTGTTATGTTCAAAGGCATGGTTTAAAAGGTAAAGAAATTCTTTAGATTTTCAAATGCAAGAATATTGAAACAGTTGTGTTTGATTTTCAGGAAATTTTCTTTGCTACCTACCCTGATTAGATCATTATATAACATACACTTGTATAAAAACATCAAATTGTAACCCATAAATTCATACAATAACAGTGTATCAACTAAATAAATATTTCTTAAAAACATTTATAAAATTCCAAATATATAAAATGGACTAATGTTACTTTTTCAAGATAGAAGGCATAATTAATTTACTGGAAACCATGGAAAATTTGAGTACATTTAAGATACTCTTTGGCATAAAAATTTAATTACTAAATATACCCTAGATAGTATTATACCACAATCAATAGTTGCATCATTTTTATCATCAATTTTAATAACAGAAAATTGTTTTAAAATTTAATGGGCATTTCCAGAATAAAAGAAACAATATAAACATATACTTAAAATATGTTAAAGATAACTCCAATATGTGATATTTTAATACCTTCTACTTATGTGTTTTAAGTAAATTAACATAGTTCCACTTTTATGTTCTAAAACTTACTGCCAGTATAAACTAAATTGGGAAAGAAATTAATATATACAGAGATATCATTGGTATGAATGCAGTGAATAACAACATATAAAATGTAGGATTTCATAAACTATTAGAGACACAAATGCATTAGTAAAACCTGAATAAACATAATTGTTTCTTTTCCCAGTGAGTTTACCTTTGACGTGACTTGAAACATCTAAATACATTATCATAACTCATTTCTAAACGTTGGACTAAGGCCATCCTATGTTATTAGTGATTCAGCCTAGAATGTCCAAACTCTCAGTGGACATTCCCCGGTGAATCCTAGCAAAACAGTCATTAAACTTGTTCTTCAGGTAAAGAAACACCGGAATCATGGTTGCTACTGAATCACCATGAAGCTCTCTAAAATCTCAAGTGTAGGGATGAAAATGAATACATACCTTTCTTTAAAAAGCATTCAGAGATCTTGCTCAGAAAAATGACTGTTCATATGATGCCTGTACGACTCCTCACAGCTAACCAAGGCAGTGTGTGTTTGAAATTGAGGAGATAATAAAAGGTACTAATTATATTTGTATTTTAAAATTTTTATTGATCACAGGGAAGAAGGGACTCTGGCAACTGCTTAAGAGAACTTTGTTTCAGAAATAGAATTGAAGTCTGAGCAATAGTGACTGTACTTTCTGTTAACAAAATTCAGCAGAAATCCTGGAGTATAGAATGCAGACAACCAACAGTGGTTTTGCTGCTAACTCATAAATGTGTTTTCTGGATGGGAAGCTAAATGATGTTCATGGAAGAGATGGGGCTAAATTACATTAGAATATGCTTTTATGGGCTCAAGTCAAATTAATGAATCCACATATAATAATCCAGTCTTTCTAGTAAAATACCTGAAAGTACTAGTGTTGTTTTTGCGTAAAAATATTAAAATGACATGAAGGTAAAGGCAAAATGAGAATGGTTAAAATTACCATCTGTAAAGCAATAATATATATTTTTTAAAATAAAGGACCCTCTTCTGAAAATAAATAATGCAGGTAACCATATGATTAGTAGCTGTGATATGGTTATCCAGATTTTGTTTTTACATCCAATTTGTGCAAAATTATAGTGCTTTGTGCTTTTAATTTTTATATTGTGTTTATTTTTTCTTCAAGACACAATGTAAACTTCCAGTGAAATAATAGAAATATCTGCTTTAACAACCATGCAGAGTTTTTGTGAGAAGCAAATGAGCATAGTATGTGGAAACAATGTGAAGGCTGTATTATTCTACAGTCATAGCGGATAACAAGTGTGTGAGTGTAAGTGATAGTGATTATTTTGATGTTGAGGGCACTGATAATGAGAAAGATGCTTAAACTTGCAGCTTCTCTTCAATGATACCCTCAGTCAAGTAATACATGTTCACTATGTCACAGACTGCTCATAATAACAATTTTTTTTTTTTTTTTGAGACGGAGTCTCGCTCTGTCGCCCAGGCTGGAGTGCAGTGGTGTGATCTCAGCTCACAGCAAGCTCCGCCTCCCGGGTTCACGCCATTCTCCTGCCTCAGCCTCCCGAGTAGCTGGGACTGCAGGCTCCCGCCACCACGCCCGGCTAATGTTTTGTATTTTTAGTAGAGACGGGGTTTCACCGTGTTAGCCAGGATGGTCTCAATCTCCTGACCTCGTGATCCATCCGCCTCGGCCTCCCAAAGTGCTGGGATTACAAGCGTGAGCCACCGCGCCTGGCCCATAATAACAATTTTAAGTAGAGCAGCCTTATTTTGTAATGAATAATAATTTTTCTTTGAAAATAGTTTTGATAAAACTGAGGACAGTGTAGGTTTCATAAATCTCTGAATTAGTGGAAAACTGCAGTATCTGGACTCAAGAGGACCATCCTCCTTGGTTCCCAAGTCTATCACTAGGTCATTGCACAGTCATGAATAACTCTCTTCAAATCCTTGTGATTCAGTTACTCTTTCTGATAATGAGAATATAGTTGAAAAATCTTTGTCTTCTATGAATATATGAATCACTACAATTTGGTTATTTTTATTATCTCATTTTCAACTCTAAATTGAAGGATAGGAAAAAGAGATCTATGCAATGCAATGATGCATTCTGACTTTAAAAGATAGTGATATGTAATTCATTTGAAACGTGGGCACTGTTTGGAGAATTTTAATTATTATGCTGAATATGTAGATCCTCAACTTGATTATGTAGTATATTAAATGTGTATTTTTTAGTAAGTGAATTCTTCCAGTAGGGAAACTTTTATATTGGGAACAAGACAGAAATTGCATTTCTTTTAGAGTTTCTGAGAAACCATTTTTCTATAAAAATGTATGGTTGTTGCTGGATCAAGTGAAAGCACAGTAAAACCAGGTGATACGAGGAAATAGAAGAAGTTGAAATGATTAAATTTTAATCATTAAAATAACCTTATTTGTGATTTAAAAATTTTTATTATTTCACAGTTATTTACTATCTATAATGATTTTTTTATTTTAATAAATTTAACCTCTTATATTTTTGTTTTGGGTAATTAAAGTGAGCCAGCCTTATTTCAGACTTACTGCCTAAAAATATTTGAAGGATAAAATAGACCACACATTTTAAAGAAGTTTATGTAAATGTTTATTTTTATATATAATGTTTATTTATATGTTTGCATAAATATGTATATGTGTATATCAACTTATATGTGTATGTGTTTGTTTGTGTGTATATATATGCATATGTGTATGTGTGTTTGTGTGTAATCTGGATAAGTCCACTTAAAATCTCTGAATCTCAATTTCATCATCTATAAAACGTCGTGGTGATGTCCACGTGAAGAGTTTGTTATTAGGATTAAATCTAATGGAATTATGGAACAAATCCTGACATATTGCAAGTGCCAGTGTGTGGAGACAGTCAGTAAAAGTTCATGCCATTATCCTTCCTTTCATGCCAGACGTCGCCCGGGTTGAATGTTTGGTTTTCCTACTCACTATGAAACCATCATCAGAATTTTTTCTGCTTGCTTTTTCTCCAGTGTACAACATCATTAATGCTGACACCTAGATATATACATTTTATGAGAATTACAAAAATAAAAGCAAGTGTATATGTTTTTAAATGGGCTTAAAATACTTATAGCTATTTTGGTGGATAAAAAACTAAGGGACAGAAGTAACTCATTTGGATTTATTTTTATCTAAGAAAAAAATGTCCTTAAATTACTTAGACAGATATATAATGGCTGAGACTGCTTCCTTGTTAGTGACAGGGCTCTAATTTTATTTAAATAATGTAATATGATAGAATTAGAACCGTGGAACGTGAATAATCAAAGAGACACTACATTGGTGTTCAAGAGATATTGTAACATCACAGAACATATCTCCTGCCACTCACGACTTGCAAAGTCCAATTAACGAGAACAAGGTCTGGTAGAAAGAAAGTGACTTTTTCTTCCAAGCTTAGCTGAGGGGAAGCAGGACAGGTGTCTGCCTTATTGGGAAGTGCTTCCCCTTTCGGGGCAGTAGGCAGGGTCTTTTAATGGGGTCTTGGCGTGAATGACATGCAGGGAGTGAGGAGATGGGGGGTCCAGTGATTTTCTTCTGATGTCTTTTCTACCCGGTGGTCTGGCTGGCACCATCGCAGGCAGAGCTGTGTTGTAAATTGAGGCAATCTCCTAGTGGGAGGGAGTTTTGAGGGTGCCTGATTTGCTTCAAGGTTCCGTCTCTAGAACTTCTAAGTAAACACAAAGTCATATAAACTTGCCTTGTAGAACGCGTCTGGTGGAGACAGTAAAGGATATATTTTTATTCCTAACCAGTTAAGTAGGAGGTGGGGGGAGGAGGAGAAAATAAGTCATTATTATTATTATTATTATTATTATTTTTAAATGAGGTAGTCAGTTAAAACGTGGCATTAAATATGAGATCTGATGTGCCATTTAGGATTCTGTCCTATGTTACATTTTCTCTTTTTAAAGTTAGGACTATAACTATCTCATGGAAAGTTGATCATAGACTGCCCTGTATAAAATACAAATGATAGAAATGTTTGAAATGTTAATTGTGTTAGTAATTTCAAACAGTATATATTCTACTTGCCAATAACTAAACTACTAATATAAATTACATACTATTGCATCACAATTAATGCTGATCTTGTACTGTTTCCAAATGACATATGTGAAAATAATTTGTTCTTCTGAATTGTCCTTCACAAATTACCAGAGGTCATAAAATAATTGGAAATAATTTGCTCTGTAGAGGCTGAGAAACTTGCCAGAATTTTCTTAAAATGTATTTGGGAATCCAAATATGGAATAATTTCAGTACATTTTAATGTTTTTATGAGGATAAATATGCATAAGGTAAACTGCACCATTTTAACTATTTTAAGTGTGGAATTCGGTGGCACTAAGTACATTTATGTTGTTGTGCAACCATCCCCACCATGCATCTCCAGAACAGTTTCATTGTCTCCAACTAAAATTTTGTTCCCTACACAATTATTCTCCCTGTCTCCCTTCTGCTATCCCCTGGGTTCCAGCATTCGACTTTCTGTCTCTATGAATTTGACTACTCTGGGTACTTCATGTAGGTGAATTCATACAATATTTGCCTCTTCATGGCTTATTTCACTGAGCATAATGTATTCAAGATTTATCTATGTTGTAGCATGTGTCAAAACTTCATTCACTTTTACAACTGAATATGTACTTACTACATTATTTTTTACTCTTTTTTTTAATACTTTAAGTTCTAGGGTACATGTGCACAATGTGCAGGTTAGTTACATATGTATACATGTGCCATGTTGGTGTGCTGCACCCATCAACTCATCATTTAACATTAGGTATATCTCCTAATGCCATCCCTCCCTCCTTCCCCTACCCCCTACCCCACAACAGGCCCCGGTGTGTGATGTTCCCCTTCCTGTGTCCATGTGTTCTCATTGTTCAATTCCCACCTATGGGTGAGAACATGCGGTGTTTGGTTTTTTTGTCCTTGCAATAGTTTGCTGAGAATGATGGTTTCCAGCTTCATCCATGTCCCTACAAAGGGCATGAACTCATCACTTTTATGGCTGCATAGTATTCCATGGTGTATATGTGCCACATTTTCTTAATCCATCCTATTATTGTTGGACATTTGGATTGGTTCCAAGTCTTTGCTACTGTGAATAGTGCCACAATAAACATACGTGTGCATGTGTCTTTATAGTAGCATGATTTATAATCCTTTGGTTATATACGCAGTAATGGGATTGCTGGGTCAAATGGTATTTCTAGTTCTAGACCCCTGAGGAATCGCCACACTGACTTCCACAATGGTTGAACTAGTTTACAGTCCCACCAACAGTGTAAAAATGTTTCTATTTCTCCACATCCTCTCCAGCACCTGTTGTTTCCTGACTTTTTAATGATCGCCATTCTAACTGGTGTGAGATGGTATCCCATTGTGGTTTTGATTTGCATTTCTCTGATGGACAGTGATGATAAGCATTTTTTCATGTGTCTGTTGGCAGCATAAATGTCTTCTTTTGAGAAGTGTCTGTTCATATCTTTCACCCACTTTTTGATGGGGTTGTTTGTTTTTTCTTGTAAATTAGTTTGAGTTCATTGTAGATTCTGGATATTAGCCCTTTGTCAGATGAGTAGATTGCAAAAAATTTCTCCCATTCCGTAAGTTGCCTGTTCACTCTGATGGTAGTTTCTTTTGCTGTGCAGAAGCTCTTTAGTTTAATTAGATCCCATTTGTCAATTTTGGCTTTTGTTGCCATTGCTTTTGGTGTTTTAGACATGAAGTCCTTGCCAATGCCTATGTGTCCTGAATGGTATTGCCTAGGTTTTCTTCTAGAGTTTTTATGGTTTTAAGTCTGACATTTAAGTCTTTAATCCATCTTGAATTAATTTTTGTATAAGGTGTAAGGAAGGGATCCAGCTTCAGCTTTCTACATATGGCTAGCCAGTTTTCCCCGCACCATTTATTAAATAGGGAATCCTTTCCCCATTGCTTGTTTTTGTCAGGTTTGTCAAAGATCAGATGGTTGTAGATATGCGGCATTATTTCTGTGGGCTCTGTTCTGTTCCATTGGTCTATATCTCTGTTTCGGTACCAGTACCATGCTGTTTTGGTTACTGTAGCCTTGTAGTATAGTTTGAAGTCAGGTAGTGTGATGCCTCCAGCTTTGTTCTTTTGGCTTAGGATTGACTTGGCAATGAGGACTCTTTTTTGGTTCCATATGAACTTTAAAGTAGTTTTTTCCAATTCTGTGAAGAAAGTCATTGGTAGCTTGATGGGGATGGCATTGGATCTATAAATTACCTTGGGGGTTATGGCCATTTTCACGATATTGATTCTTCCTACCCATGAGCATGGAATGTTCTTCCATTTGTTTGTATCCTCTTTCATTTCATTGAGCAGTGGTTTGTTGTTCTCCTTGTAGAGGTCCTTCACGTCCGTTGTAAGTTGTATTCCTACGTATTTTATTCTCATTGAATCTTTAAGTAACTTTGGATATTATTGACATCTTAACAGTGTTAAGCCTTCTAATCTATAAATACAGGATATATTTCCATTTATTTGTGTCTTCTTTAATTGCTGTAATCAACATTTTGTCATTTTTCAGTGTATAAGCCTTTTACCTTCTTGGTTATGTTTATTCCTAAGTGTTTCATTTTTTTTGATACTATTGTAAATAAAATCACAATCTCTTTCAGATTGTTTGTTGTTAGTGTATAGCCACTTGAAGCCTAGGCTCAAAACAGACACAGTTTTGTTTCTGTCACATTCAATGGGTCACAGCAAATTGTTAGTATATAGAAGTCAATAGCTTTTGACTATTGTTGCATGCTGCAATTTTGCTTATTTTGTTAATTATTTGTAACAGTTTTTAGTGTGTAAAATCCTATGGCTTTCTACATATATAGTTATGTCATATGCAAATAGAAATTATCCTGCTTCCTTTCTTTTAATTAAGATAACTTTTTTTCTTCTTTTGTTCTATTGCTTTGGCTGAACTTCCAATAATATGTTGAATAGATGCAGTGAAATTGGACATTTGTGTCTTGTTCCAAATCCTAGAGTAAAAATTGTCATTCTCATTATTATCATGAAGTTGTGGGTTAAATTCTTAACCGTGATAGAATTTTTACATCACTTTAATGTTTTATTCAAGTAATGCATAGACATGGTGTCCACAGTCCGCAGGCTAAAATATTCGACCCATAACAAACTCTTCCTGACCCCAAAGATAAGGACTTCAAAATTTCTTACCAGTCTTGCCCTGTTTTTGCCCATGTATTTTCAAACAATATGCTTATCTGCTAATGCTTGATTTAAGTATCTCAAATACCAGCCCTTGACTCATGACACAGGCCACTGTCACTAGTTACCTGCTCCCCCCAGCATCACTACCCCCAAACTCATTACCCTTCTCCCACTTTGTCCACATAAATACATTCCAATTTATGTCTGCAGCAAGGGGTTGACAACATCATCTCATCTGATAGAATCTATTGATTAAATACAAAAAATATATATTCTTGTAAAACCTGATGGTAATACATACATGCATGTATTTCTTCTGATTATTATTACTACTATTTCTCTCAAAAACTTAATATTTTATCTCTAGATAATTAAAATTTTTAGAAGTGTTTTCAAGGAGACACAATTTTCATGAAATTTTTTCTAGGAAAATATTTCTCACTTTGTGATTTAACATGCCATTTGAGTATGGTGGCTAATATATTTCAGTTCTGAGAATTTTTTTTTTACAATATTGAGTTTATTATTATTTGCTATGTGCATTTCTGGGAATGCCTGTAAGTATATGTTGGTCCTGTTATATTAATTTTCTAATATTTCTCTCTCTTCTAATTTTCAATACTTTTAGGTTGTTTTCTTTTTTCCTTCTGATAGAATTTTCCCAATTTGTCTTTTGAAATTTTCATTTAAATTTTATCAATTATTGTATTTTTAATTTCCAAGAGTCATTTATCGTTACCTGTCACATCCTTTTACATAGATAATGATATTTATTTTGTGGATTTCATAACATATCATACATATTTTCCTTCCTAAAGATAGGAATTCTTATTTTTAAAAAATCATTCTTTTTGCAGGTTTCTGATCATTTTAATCAGGGTATATATACATGTGTATTGATGTTTAAGTGAGTGTACATCTTTGTGTGTGTGTATAGATGTGTGTTTGCACACTGTGTGGATCTTACTCTTTCACATTGTTACACTTCCTCAAAGGTCTGCTGACCTTTGGCTCTAAAATAATATTTAAGCCTAAAGACTTCAGTCCTTTTAGGCATTCAGTGCAAAGTCGTCCACTGATGTCTTCTATCTGGAGAAGAATGCTCGAACCACCTATACCCAGGAAACTGTCAAGTTGCTGCTTCCTTTTTTCCATTTAAGTGAATGTTCATTTCTCCAAACCCCTTCTTTTGAAGGATCATAAAGTAATTTATTGTTTTTGCTTCCCTAATGCTTAGATTACATTATACTTTATGGATCCTCCTAAATAATTGATAAATATTCTTATGATCCTTTCATAAGACTTGAAGGATCCACAAAGTCTATGTAATCTAAGCATTAGGGGAGCAAAGATACAGAATACACATTCTATTGGGGAGAGCGTGAACAGAGACATGGAAGGTAAAATGAACTTGGCATATAGATATTCAGATGGGGGTCTGCACTAACTTAAGAATTCTGAAATTGGATGAGAAGGCAAAAGAGAATGGATGGTGGTAGACATTAAAAATGAACTGTATGAATTACATTTCATGAAAAAGGTACTTGAAATAAGGATGTATTCTACATTTCTAAATAGAAGAACCAAATAATGATGTTTAACTAATGAAAGTTTGACTTGGAATTATTAGGCAAAGACAATTCAAGAAGGAAATATAAGTTACTCCAAATGAGCCATAGGCTGCTGCAGTTTTAAAGAATAAATGTAGAAAAAAATCATCCTGAAAAAGTAGTGCTAAATTGTTCATAATATGGATCCATAACATATGCATAAAATTTACTGTTGCATGCATATGTTTTAAGAATAACAAATGATCTTGATGACATCTGAGTTTGTGTTGGGCAGCAAACATTTGTATCCTACTGAAGTTTTAAGAGAAATGTTTTTTCCTATAAATGTATATATTTCTTATTAAAAATTGTGGTTATAAATATTTCTCTCACAAAATATAATTTCTGGGTGACAAAATAAGATATTTTTCTAAATAGGAAAGATTACTTCATCATTTAAGAGTTGTAAAATTGTATAAATAATTCATAGTCTAACTAAACTAAGGACTTTTTAAAAACTATTGGCTTACTGTTTTATAACTAGTCCCCCTTATCCACTGCTTTGCTTTTTGTGGTTTCTCCTGAAATCAACTGTCATCTGAGATTGCATGGAAAATTCCACAAATGAGCACTTCATAAATTTTAAATTTGTTTTCAGTCATAGCCCAATGTTGCATTACCGTGCCTACATTGTTCCCCTCACTTTATCTCATCACGTAGACATTTTATCTTCCCCTGAAGCATTTTATCATCAGAAGAAAAATAAACACCGTTCAATAAGATATTTTGAGAGAAAGAAAAAAACTGCATTCACACAACTTTTATTACAGTATATAATTATAATTGTTTGGTTTTCTTTTTAGTTATTTTTGTTAATCTCTTCCTTGCCTAATTTATAAATTAAACTTTATAATATATATTTATTGATACAAAAATAGTGTATATAGGGTTCAGTGTAAACCCCAATTTCAGGCATTCACTGGCGGGCTTGAAATGCATCCCCTGCAGATAAGGGGGAACTACTGTACTTCACTTACCCTTGTGTCTCCCTTCAGGAAGGATCATATGAATGCTCCATGGAAAATTACAATCAAACATCAACTGCTTTCATCTTGTTGGGATTGTCGCCACCACCAAAAATTGGCCATTTCATCTTCATTCTCATTAATTTCGTTTTCCTAATGGCTCTAATTGGAAACCTATCCATGATTCTTCTCATCTTCTTGGACATCCATCTCCACACACCCATGTATTTCCTACTTAGTCAGCTCTCCCTCATTGACCTAAATTATATTTCCACCATTGTTCCTAAGATGGTTTATGATTTTTCTGTATGGAAACAAGTCTATCTCCTTCACTGGGTGTGGGATTCAGAGTTTCTTCTTCCTGACTTTAGCAGGTGCAGAAGCGCTGCTCCTGACATCAATGGCCTATGATCGTTATGTGGCTATTTGCTTTCCTCTCCACTATCCCATCCGTATGAGAAAAAGAGTGTGTGCACTGATGATAACAGGATCTTGGATGATAGGCTCCATCAACTCTTGTGCTCACACGGTATATGCACTCCGTATCCCATATTGCAAGTCCAGAGCCATCAATCATTTTTTCTGTGATGTTCCAGCTATGTTGACCCTAGCCTGCACGGATACCTGGGTCTATGAGTGCACGGTGTTTTTGAGCACCACCATTTTTCTTGTGTTTCCCTTCATTTGTATTGCATGTTCCTATGGCCGGATTCTCCTTGCTGTCTACCACATGCACTCTGCAGAAGGGAGGAAGAAGGCCTATTCGACCTGCAGCACCCACCTCACTGTAGTGACTTTCTACTATGCACCCTTTGCTTATACCTATCTACGCCCAAGATCCCTGCGATCTCCGACAGAGGACAAGGTTCTGGCTGTCTTCTACACCATCCTCACTCCAATGCTCAACCCCATCATCTACAGCCTGAGAAACAAGGAGGTGATGGGGGCCCTGACACGAGTGATTCAGAAAATCTTTTCAGTGAAAATATAGACATACGTTCTGCCTTAGAGTCAAAGCGCTAGGTTCATATCAACTCAGCAGTGTACGGCGGTTAAGGAAAATATTATTACATGCCCAGTATGTCAAACGGAAATTAATCTAAAAGATTTGTATTTTAATTTAGTCTGGCATTTCAATTGCATATTCTAAGACACCTATTTTGGTTTTGTATTTGTTTCTTTTTATCAAAAGATAGATCGTATATTCATTTTTTTCCTAAAGTAGTGATCTATTAAAAGTTTACCTCAGGATAAATAATTATGTCTGGGGAGCAGTCTACTTGGCTTTAGATAGACAAGAGTTTCCCTATAAGAGGTTCTATACAGCTACCTTCTGTAGAACCTCTTAGACTGTAGTTGACTTAGACTCAGTTGGGTGTCAAGTAGGTTATTTAAAACATTTGCAGTCACATCACAACACACTCAATGTTTCCCTCGTGAGTAGCCACTGGTATTCTCGTGCAAGACATTCTCTTCTGCACAATTTTATTTCTACTTACTCTTGTCATAAATCAACGGGTCTATTTAGCATGACTTGGGATCAGCTCCTCTGCTCCACTATTTTTATACATGCTTAGGCATGTGCCCAAAAGGATCAACGTTATTTTCATAAAAGTTATCCGCTTAGGTCCTTTCTCTGAGTGAAAGGCCATTGCTTTCCAGAAGAGCCCATTCCTGAGAAACTCTTTAATCTCTGAGGAGAGGAGGCAAGAAGGAAGGTAGAATGAGCAAATGAGAAAAGCCCCGAATTATCCAAGTGACAGCAGTGGTGAGTGACTGATAGGAAGTTGGTCCTTGAACAACATAGATCTGAACTGTACAGGTCCACTTACATGTGGTTTTTTTTCTGCCTCTGCCTCTCCTGAGACAGCAAGACCAACCTCTCCTCCTCTTCCTACTACTCAGCCTACTCAATGTAAAGGCAACATAGATGAAGATCTTCATGACAAACCACATTCACTAAATAAGTAGTAAATATGTTTTCTCTTTCTGATGATTTTCTTCATAAGATTTTCTTTTTCTAGCTTACTCTACTGTAAGAATACAGTATATAATACATATAAGATACAAAGTGTGAGTTAATTATTTATGTTATTTTTTAAGGCTTCCTGTCAACAGTAGGCTATCATTAGTTATGTTATGGGGGGAGTTTGAAGTTATATGCAGATATGTTTTATTTCAACGTCTATTTTAGGTATGAGAGTACATGTGGATATTTTTACGTGGGAATATTGCATGTTGCTTAGAGTTAGAGTGTGGATCCTGTCACCTGGTAGTGAACATAGTACCCAATCAATAGTTTTTAATCCCATCCCCTCCCTCTAGCAGGGCACAGTGTCTGCTGTCACCATATTTATGTCCATGTGTGGGCCAATGCTTAGTTCCCACTTACAAGTGAGAACATTCTGTATTTGGTTTGTTCTTCCTCAGTCAATTTGCTTAGGATTATGGCCCCCAGCTCTATCCATTATCACTTGCAAACAGTATGCTCTTACTGTTTTTTATAGCTGTGTAGTGTTTCATGGTGTATATGTAGCATATTTTCTTATTCCAATTCACTATTGATGGGCACCTAGGTTGATTGTAGGTCTTTGCTGTTGTGAATAGTGCAGCAATGAGCAATGAATGCATGTGACTTTTTGGTAGAATGATTTTGTGTGTGTGTGTGTGTATACAGAGCACTGGAATTTCTAGGTCAAATGGTATCTCTAAGTATTTTGAGAACTCTTCAGACTGCTTTCCATAGTGGCTGGGCTAATTTACATTCCCACCAACAGTGTATAAGAATTCCCTTTTCTCTGCAGCTTCACCAGCATCTGGTGTTTTTTTTGATTTTTTAATTATAGCCATAGTGACTGGTATAAAATGGTCTCTCATTGTGGCTCTGATTTGCATTTCTCTGATGATTGGTGATGCTGAGTAATTTTTCTTGTTTTTTGGCCACTTGTATGTCTTCTTCACAGATGTGTCTGTTCGTTGTTCATGTAACTTCTGCATTTTTAATGGGGTTAGTTTTTTGCTTGTTGATTTATTTAACTTCCCTACAGATTGTGGACATTTAATCTTTGTCAGATGCATACTGTGCAAATATTTTTTCCTATTCTGTAGGTTGGCTGTTTCCTCGTTGTTTTTTTTTTTTTTCTGTGCAGAAGCTCTTTTGTTTAATTAAGTGCCTCTTGTCAATTTTGTTTTGTTGCTATTGTTACTCCTCAGGTAGAGGAATAAGTGTGTAGGTTCTATCATGGATATTGAAATGTTTGCTCTCTGAGGCATGTCAAAAGTGAGTTCAGATATATAAAGAATGGTAAATGGAATCTAGACTTTCTGCTGAACCAGGAGTACCATGCCCCTCATTTATTTATTTACATCATCATTATAAGGGAGATATGGGATATGTAAAAAGTTTGTTGTATGCATGATACTTAGAGAAACAGATATGGGAGGTGAAAAAAGTAGATATGATTTAATCTTGATTCCTCAGCTAAGCCAACAAATTCCTGTGGTGCTATTTGGACAGACACTGAATGGAAAGAGACAGAGAGAGGGGGAGAGAGAGAGAGAGAGAGAGAGAGAGAGAGAGAGAGAGAGAGAGAGAGAAAGAAAGAGAAAGAAAGAGAGAGAGACCTTGTCATGAAAGAGTTTGTAAAACCAATGGACATGCATTGGTACCTGTGGGACCTAGTGATGGAGTGTGACTCAGACCTGTGTAGAAAGGCTGTCTCTTCATTTCATTAACGAACACAATGTGTGGCAGGGATGCAGGAATGTCTCTTATTCTCTTTGGCATCTTAAAGGTCCTGTATGTTTCAGATTTTGTGGCATGGAGCTTTCCTAGGGAGAATCCCAACCACAATTGATTCCCATTTGGTCTCAGAAGCTGAGAAAAACTGAGAGTGATTGGCCGGGCACGGTAGCTCAAGCCTGTAATCCCAGCACTTTGGGAGGCCGAGGCGGGCGGATCACAGGGTCAGGAGATCGAGACCATCCTGGCTAACACGGTGAAAACCCCGTCTCTACTAAAAATACAAAAAATTAGCCGGGCGTGGTGGCGGGCGCCTGTAGTCCCGGCTGCTTGAGAGGCTGAGGCAGGAGAATGGCGTGAACCCGGGAGGCGGAGCTTGCAGTGAGCTGATATCGCTCCACTGCACTCCAGCCGGGGCGACAGAGCGAGACTCCATCTCAAAAACAAACAAACAAAAAGAACTGGGAGTGATTATGTTACTATGACTGTAGCCTAACACTACAAGTCTTGGTTTCTCTTCTTTCTGTCCTTCAATCCAGACTGGCTCTCAGACACACACACAGAAATACTACATGATCTTACTTATATTTTGGGTCTAAAAATAAGTGGAATAGATAGAAACAGAGAGTAAAATGGTGGTTACTAGCAGTGGGGAGGGAGAGAAAGAGCGTAGGTCAAATGCTACAAACTTGAAGTTATGTAGGATGAGTAAGTCTAGATAGCTGATGAAGACTATGGTTAATACTATTGTATTATATATTGAAATTTTGCTAAGACAGTGGGTTTTAAGTGTTCTTAGTAAAAAAAATCATAACTATGGAACATGCTGTATAAGTTGAGTGTGGTAATCATTTCAATATGTATATGAATGTCAAACAACATGTTGTATATCTTTAATAAAATAAAACATTTTCTGGTACATCTTTAATAAAATCAACACTCAATCAGACTGACTTGAATTATTCCTGGAATTATCTAATTAAAATATATTTTGATGATCTCACTTTCCTTAGTATGGTATGTAATTCTCTCCATTGGCTAATTCCTTCCTTCATCTGACTCTACCTGGAACTTTATGTTCTCTTCATGTTAAATTGAATGCAGTTCTCTGAACAAGTTTTGAAAAGCCAGTCCTCATGACATTAGGTCCAATAGCTTTTATCTTTAATGCATTGTTCTCTATTCTCATAAAGTTCTTTCACTGCATGAATCCTCATCACTCCCTTTTCTCAGTGTAAACATCAGGTATCATCTACACAAGGAAGCATTCTGAATGTACTTGTTAAACTCTATCTTTCCCTTCCACTCTCATAGATCCCACTATTTCTAATAATAACATGTGTCATCAAGATGTATTGTAACAATCTCTGTTCTCTATGGCTCCACAGACTATTATCTGTTACCATCAGTGGCTTGCTCTTTTCCTCTTCACATGCCCAGATGTTGCACTTGAGTACCTGCTCTGCATTCAACCTATTCATAGCTCAAAGCATGCTTAGTTATTCTTAGCCCATTGCATTTTCACATAATAATTAGAGTCAGCCTGCAAAGTGTTTATAGAAAAAATTTTTGTGTTTCAGTGTGATTTTATACAATCTAGAGCATAATTAGTGGAATAACAAAATATTTTCTATATCAGATTTCTTGATTCATTAATGAAACATATTTTACTATACATATGTCTATTTATGAAGAGCAGAAACCTATCCACATCTCAGTCAATATTCATCGGAATGATTTATTTTATAATTCCTCTAGCATTTATTTTTTGTTTATTTATTTTTTTGAGACATCATGTCCTTCTGTTGCCCAGGCTGGTCCTTGTCACCAGGTCCTCACTTCCCTTAATTGCTTCTTTACATATCATCTTTAATTTTAGGAAACCTCAAGTTTTCTGTTTAAAATGTTTTCCAGATCCCGAATTACAATGGGTCCACTGACGCAGTGGGTCTGCAGAGCTTGTCTGAGAAACTGACTCAGTGCAGGATGCAGAGTCTTCATCTCCCTGTCTTATGACTTCACCACTCGCTTCTCCACCAATCAGCAATCCCCACATGTTAGCTCATCACTCATCCAGACTCCTTAAAAATGCCATCCCCAAGCATCTCCAGAAGGCTGATTTGAGGCATCCTTCCTCTTCCTCCTTCAGCTGACCTACGATTGTTAAACTCTTTCTCTTCTCAACTTCTACTGTTTTGGTGTTTTGGTCTGCTACCACTCCATGGGCAATTGAACCCTGTGGGCCTAAAACAATCCTCCTGCCTCAGTCTCCCCATAGGTGGAATGACAGGCCTGTGCCACTGCGCCCTGCTCTTTTACAAACATTTGACATAAATGCTTATCACCTGAATCTTGTATCTTTGGGACATAGAATGGGACTTCTTTTCCAAATTGGTAAATATGATTATGCATTTAAAGATCCATGTGATTTAATGAATAATTCAAATGCACTGAACACAGACATCTAAAAATGTAAAATAAAGAGCTCAGTTTTATTTACACTCTTTTTCTAAACTCTTCTTTCAGAATAAACCAAGTTGTGGCCTACTCTATGCTTGGTTTTGTGCTTTGTACTGTAGAAGTGTAAAATAGTCAATTTCTATGTCCAGAAAACTCTCAGGGAAAACTGGGTATTTCAGGAGTAAGTTGCTGACTTATATCCCCCATATTTGCATACATAACCCTTGTGGGTAGTTGTGAGGTACACCTAAACATCTTTCTTTTTTTTACAGAAATTCCCTTGAAGTCTGTCTTCCCACATCAAATAAGGATTCTTACCTCCTCTTTCAGCACAAATAGGTTTTGTCATCTGTCTTTTGAAGATGTGGAAACAGTTCCCTGGTTGCACTAGACATGGCACCTACTATTATGTTAATAGCCAAGGTTTTAAACTTGACAAAAAAAATTTTCAGCTTTTCAAATGCAGGAATATTGAAACATCTGTACATTCTGACTTTCAGGAAATTGTCATTTCCAAGAATGTACACCAACTACCCTGACTGGATCATTATACAGCATATACGTGCATTAATATATCAAATTGGCTGGTCTGAGTGCAGTGGTGTTTACAATTGATCACAACCAGTTACAGGTTTCTTGGTTCCTTTCCACTCCCACTGCTTCATCTGACTAGCCTATGCATATCAAAATAAATATAAATAAAAATACATATCAAAATGTGTCAAATAATTTATCTATTAAATCCATGTGGAGAAATTCAAATACTTTTAACATTCAAAAAAATTAAAATGAACTAATACCTTTTTTCCCATGTAGGTGGTATAATTTATTCATTTACTAGAAACAAGAAATTAGAGAACACTTAAAGCACTCTACTGAATAAAAATTTATTCAATTACTATTTTCTAAATATTAATAAAGCAGAGTAACATCATTTTATCATCTGATTTAATAGGAGAAAATCACTTTATAATTTAGTGAGCATTTCCAAATTAAAAGAAACAATTTGAATGTGTATAATACCTAAAATATGTTAGAAGATAACTCCCATGTATGCGATATTTTAATAATTTCTACTTATGTGTTTCTATTAAATTAACCTCATTCTATTTTAGTGGTTTAAATCTTACTGCCAATATAAACCAAACTGAGAGAGAAATTAGTGAATGCAGACACATTGTTACTGTGGATGCCTGAATAACAACATTCAAGCTATAGAGTTTCATGAAGTTTAGAAACAAAAAAAACTGAAATAATGTGAATAAATATATTTGTTTCTTTCTCCACTGAGTTTACCCTTGACATGCCTTGAAACATCTAAATACATTATCAGAACTCATTTCTGAACGTTGGACTAAGGCCATCCTCTGACATTAGTGACTTAGCCTACAATGTCCAAAGTTTCAGTGGACATTCCCTAGTGAATACCAGCAAAACAACTGTTAATCTCATTCTCCAGGTAAAAAGGACTGGATTCATGATTGCTACTGAATTCCCATGAAAGTCTCTGATATCTCATGTGTAGGGATGATGAATGAATATATACATTTCTTTAAAAAATATTCTTAATTCTTACTCAGAAAAATGACTTTGTTTCTATGATGACTACAGGACTGCCATCAGCTAAGCAAGGCATGAATGTTTGATAATGAGGAAATAATAAAGGTACTACTTATAATTGTATTTTAAAATTTTTATTGATCCCAGGGAAGAAGGGACTCTGGCAAGTGCTTAAGAGGACTTTGTTTCAGAAATAGAATTGAGGTGAATTTCAGCACTAGTGACTGTACTTTCTGTAACACGTCAGCAGAAATCTTGGAGTGTGAAATACAGGCAACAAAAAGTGGTTTTGCAGCTAATTCATAAGTGTGTTTTCTAGAGGGGAAGGGAGGTGATGATCAATGGAAGAGATAGGGATAAATTAGACTATGCTTTTATAGGATCCAGTGAAATTAACCCACATTCACAATAATTATTGTAGGGGGCAACATTTCCTCATTCCTACTTGGTTGGTGTTTTGTTTTGTTTTGTTTTTGTTTGATTTATTTTGTCCTGAATGATCAGTGATTATGTCATGCTCATTATAATCTTATTGCTGCTTCTCACTTTGTATTTTACCTTATATGAATCCAGCCTGTCTAATGAAATACCTAGAAAGTACTAGTGTTGTCTTTGCATAAAAACGTTAAAAGGGCATTAAAGTAAAGGCACAATGAGAATGGTTAAAATTACCAGTCTGTAGTGCAATGATACATTTTCTTAAAAGAAGGACCTTCTTCTGGAAATAAATAATGAAGGTAACTGCATGATTAGTAGCTGTGCTATGGTTATCCGGATTTTGTTTTTACACACAATTTGTGCCAAATTGTAGTGCTTTGTGCTTTTAATATTTACAATGTATTAATTTTTTCTTTTGGTACATATGGTAAAGTTTCAGTGAAATAATAGAAATATCTGCCTTAACAACCACGCAGAGTTTTTGTGAGAAGCAAATGAGCAGAGCATGTGGAAACAATGTGAAGCTTTATTATTCAACAGTCATAGCAGATAACAAGTGTGTGGATGTAAGTGATAGTGATTATCTTGATGATGAGGGCAAGGGTAATGAGGAAAATGCTGAAACTTGCAGCTTCTCTTCAGTGATACACCCAGTCAAGTAAGACACGTTCACTATCTCACAGACAGCTCCTGGTAACCCATGGATTCTTCCCCCTGTTGTAATTATAAACTACAGGGTCAGACATTCATCAACAAAAGCTTACATTTCTAGTAATTGTAAGAGATAGAATTTGATTTAATTTTAAATGGAGCCTCTGTCCCTTGAACTTACCCAGTGAAGCAGAGTAAGCACATCCTCATTCCAAAATAACAGACAAAGGATATACTTTCATAATCAGTTTCTATATATCCATGGAAATGTCTGTCTACGTACTTACTGGTGTATCTATCTGTGAGAGCTGATGCACTATTGTGGGCCTCAATGCAGGTTGTGACTTGGAAGCACACATGCACACAAGCAAATACTCACTTTACATTCTTTACTCCTTTACACCTGAAAGAGTTATGGTTCTCCAACTTCATACCCTTCTCAACAATTAAATATACACATTGTGTAAATATGTGTAAGACCAGTTATTCCTATGTCAGTTACCTACAACATTATGTACTGTGTCTCTTCTTAGGAGAATCTATTGTGGAGGAACTTGAAGGAAGGAGGAATCTCCTATAGGATTCCATGCCAGGATGCTGTGGAGAGCCATCCTTGTCTAGACTCCAGAGGACACTCTTCTGTGTCATCTGATTGACATTCTAGACAAGTGCTGTCAATGTGAAATAATTCTTACTAAAGACATGCAGATTCAGGTACAGACAGCTTGTTTTAAGGAATTAAGAGTGACTCATGGAGTCAATGACTTCACTGCCATTTCAGTGAAACTGATGCTATTTCCTGTTTTACCATTTTCCAGCTCTATGTGTTAGTAGGGAGATCACTTTCTGGAAGTTTCAAAGATTCAGAACTTTAGGATATTACAGATATCACTTCAGAAGAGAGAAAGTAATCCAGATTCTGGAAAATCCCATAATGAGTGTCTTGGATTTTGCAGACTTTTAGAAGTTCCATCTGATTTCTTATAAATCTTGCAGGTAAGCCAACTTGTGCCCCTGCCTTCCTAGCTTTTTCTTTTTCTTTCTTTTTTTTTTTTTGGTGTGTGTGTGTGTGTGTAAATCCAGTTTTTCTGCACCTATGCAAATAATCCTATCAATTTTAAGGAGACCAGCCTTATTTTGTGATGAATAATGGTTTTTCTGTTTGATCAAAGCTGAGGAAAGTATAGGGAGGAAAATCTGTGCCCCAGTAGAAAACTGCAGAATCTGAACTCAAGAAGACCATCCTCCTTGGTTCCCAACTCTGTCACTAGGTCACTGCACAGTCATGAGTAACTCTCTTCAAATCCTGTGATTCAGTGATTCTTCCTTGTGATAAGTAGACTATAGGTGAAAAATCTTTGTCTTCTGTGAATGTATGAATCACTAAATTAGAGTACTTTCTTCATCTTACTTTCAACTCTAAATTGAAGGATAGGAAAGAGATCCATGCAACGCAATGATGCTTTTTGACTTCAAAAGTTAGTAATAGGTTCTTCATTTGAAACTTTGGCAGCTTTTGGAGAATTGTAATTATTATGCTGAATATGTACATCCTCAACTTGATTTACACAGGAGATTATATGGCTGTTTTTTTTTTTAACTGAATTCTTCCAGTAGGGAAACTTTTACATTGGGAACAAGACAGAAAATGTCTTTCATTTAGAGTTTCTGAGAAACCGTTTTTCTGTGAAGATACATAACTGTTGCCAGGTGAAGTTAAAGTACATTAAAAACAGGTGATATGAGGAAACAGAAGAATTGTAATGAGTAAAGTTTAATTATTAAAATAATTCTACTTGTTTTTAATTTTTTATACTTTCTCAATTATTTACCACTTATATGGAGTTTTTGACTTAATAAATTTAATTTTTTTTCTTTTCCTTTTGTTTTGGGTGATTAAAAAGTGAGCCACCGTTATTTCAGATTTACTGCCAAAAATTTTTGAGGGATGAACTACACCACACATTTTTAAAAGGTTTATATTAATGTATGTTTATTTATGTAGGTGTGACATTTACTCATAGGTTTGTGTGTGTGTACATACATATGCATATATGTATGTGTGTTTGTGGATCTAGAGAAGTTTACTGAAAATCTCTGAATCTCAGTTTCATCATCTATAAAATGTCAGTGGCGATACCAATCTGAAGAGTTATTTTGATGAACTCCAACAGAATCAAGGAATGAATGCTGTGACGTTCCAGGTGCCAATATGTGGAGAGAGTCTGTGAAAGTTCACGCCTCCCTCCTTCCTTTCATGTGAGACGTAGTTCAGGTTTAAGGTTTGTGGGTCCTACTCACTCTGAAATCTCGACTACAACTTTTTCTGCTTGTTTTTTCCTCCTGTGTATTATTTCATTAATGCTGACACCTGTATACTGAATTTTTAGTGAAAAGAAAGTAAAAGCAAGTAAAGATGTTTCTTAGTTGGCTTAAATACCTTCTTTATAGCTATTTCTGTAAATAAAAAAATAAAATATAGCTATTTCTGTAAATAAAAAAAATAATAAAAGGACTATTTCTGTAAATAAAAGAATAAAATTTCTTATATTTTACATAAGAAAAATATATCCTGTTCACATTATTGAAACAGAAACATCATGGCTGAGGCTGCTTTCCTGTCAGGAACCAGCCTCTCATTTTATTTAAATAATATTATATAATAGGACATTAGAATATTAAAACCCTGGAACATGGATAATAAAAAGATGATACATTGGCAGTCCTAAAACACAGCATTAAATATCAGATCTGATGTGTCATTTATTATGCTGTTTTATGTTCCTTTTTCCTCTCTTTAAAATTAGGATAATGTAAACCATATCTTGGACAGTTTGTCTTAGACAGCCCTCTGTAAAATACAAATGATAGAAATGTTTGAAATGTAAATTGTGTTAACAATTTCAAATATTACATGTTCTACTTACCAATAATTAACCAATAATATAAATTATATTGTATTGGATCTGTATATAGTATTGGATTTGTCTTAATGCCAATCTCCTATTGATTCCAAATGACATTTATGAAAATAATTTTCTCTTCTAAATTTTTTTTTAATTACCAATGTCATAAAATACCTGAAAATAAATTGCTCTGCAGAGGCTTAGAAACCTGCCAAGATTTTTTAAAAATGTATTTGGAAATCCAAATTGGAATAATTTCAGTAAATTTAAGTGATTTTTTATTAGGGCAAATATACATAAGAGAAACACCAGTTTAACCTTTTTAAGTGTA